>NT_167246.2:2050501-2246593 GCF_000001405.40 Homo sapiens | reverse complement strand
GGCCAGGATGCTGAGCCCAGAGGACGTGGTGGCCACCCAGCCATGGTGGCAGTGGAACTCCTAAGACAGCAACACTCAGTGCTAAAGTCCCAGGCACAGTTGGAGCTGTTCCGGGAGCACTGGATGAGGCAGGTCCTAAGAGGGCAGAGGGAAAAAACAGAAGAGATTCAAGCAAGAGCAAAGCAGAAGTCACATCAAATGCACCCACAGGCAAGACTCCAGCAAGTTTTTGGAATAAACTGATGAAATAATGTTATGAAAATCAAGACTGAGAATAACCAAGACACTCTCTTAAAAAAAAAAAGGGAGAACTTACACTATGAGATCTCAAGACTTGCTACAAATCTGTAGTCCTTAAGCACTGTGGCCCTGGAGTAAGAACTGACTGATAGGCCGGGTGCAGTGGCTCACACCTGTAATCCCAGCACTTTGGGAGGCTGAGACAGGCAGATCACCTGACGTCAGGAGTTCGACACCAGCCTGGCCAACATGGTAAAATCCCGTCTCTACTAAAAATACAAAAAAATTAGCTGGGTGTGGTGGCAGGCGCCTGTAATCCCAGCTACTCCGGAGGCTGAGGCAGGAGAATTGCTTGAACCCGGGAGGCGGAGGTTGCAGTGAGCCGAGATCGCGCCATTGCACTCCAGCCTAGGCAACAAGAGTGAAACTCCACCTCAAAAAAAAAAAAAACTTACCGAAAAACCCACACAAATAGTCACTTGACTTTCAGGATAGGTGCTCACCGTTCAATGGCAGGGACAGGGGAGGGTCCTTGGAAATAATGGTTCTGGATATTCATAAGAAGAAAAAATGAATCTTGACTTCCACCTCGCTCCATACACAGAAATTAACTTGAGATGGATAATAGACTTAAATTTGAAAGCTAAAATAATAACGTTTCTGGAAGAATGCAGAGGAGAATATTTTCATGACCTTGAAGTAGCCAAAAAAGTCTTAGGATACAACAGGAACTAATCATGACAGAAAAAGGTGATGAATTGGAAAACAGAAAGAGAGGCCCTTGTATAGCCACAAAGGCAAGGGAGCTGCTTCCACTGAGGTTCTGGAAAACTGCCAGGCTTGCAGGAAGCCCCACCCCAGAGCTACAGACCGAGCTGAAGGGTTCTCCCGAGATGGGTTGAGCAACAGAAATATCACCTGATGATGTGGAGACTGTTCCTGAAGTGCTCCCAGAAACGGCTGGAGCTAAAGACTGAGGACTGCTGGGAAAACTCCCAGAGTTTGAAGAAACTGTTGAGACACTCCCAGAGGCAGTAGGGAGACTTCTAGAGATAGTGGGGACAGTTGCAGAGATAGTGGGGAGACCTCCAGAGACAGAGGGAAGATTTCAGAGACAGTAGGGAAACTTTTGGAAATAGTGGGGACAGTTGCAGAAACAGTGGGGAAACCTCCAGAGATAGTGGGAAGACTTCCAGAAACAGTGGGAGACTTCCAGAAACCGGGGAGAGCTCCAGAGACAGAGGAGAGACTTCCAGAGACAGTGGGGAGACTTCCAGAGACAGGGGAGACCTGGGGATACTGTGTCAGAAGTCCCCAGTAGGGTCAGCTGAACTGTTGAAAAAAGAAGATAAACCATAGAACGGGGTTAGAAGAGTTGGCCATCCCACTGGGTCCCAAATTCATGTCCTTCCTCAAGACCCCCTGTCTGGGCCCAAGTGCTCACTGGGTCCGGCCAAGGCCTGCAGGCCCAGGAGCAGCACCAGCACAGTGTCCATGGCACCAGTTGAAGTGTGTTGGCCAGGCCCATCTCCCAGGCTCTTTAAAGGCTCTGGGGCCTATTATGAGTCCCGGGAGAGCCAGTTGTGCCGGGGCCTCCACCAACACCAGAATCTCCATCCCCAGAGAGAGGTCGCCAAGTTGTCCCAGGGGATTAACCTGTCCCAGCCTGATCCCAGGAAGCACAGGGTGAGGGGGAGAGTGAGTAAGAGCCTGCGGGCTCCCCCACCTGGCCCTTGGGCTCTTCCTGGACTAGGGACCTGTCCCCCAGGTCTGAGTCAATTCACAGCCCAGACCCTCCTTTAAAAGGGGAGACCCAAATGACCTATCCCAAGGTCATCCTCTTGTTCCTAGAAGTACAACCGTTGGAAGTCAGGACGTATGAGTCCCTCAGGGAAGCAGGATTTGGAAGCTGGGGTTGTAGGGGAACCATGAGGGTCTAGGACTGCATCTGACCTTCTGGAAACCTAAGAGTGGGCTGGGAAGGTCAATACCTGAGCCGTCTCTCACCTAGATGGCTGCAGCTCACAGAGCTTTCCATTCCTTTGACAGGGAAGGGGAAAGGGGAGATAAGGGGCACCAAGGAAGACACGTGTCATGTTTGGGGACAGTGTGATATGGAAGGTCAGACCCCAGCTCTGGAGCCAGACAGCCCTGAATCCTCAGAAGCTCAGTACCAGGGCTGAGTCCACTGCACTGGAATCCACCACTGCTGAGCTGTGCATTCTCTGGCAAGTCACAAGGCCTAAGTCTTAATTTCACCTCTAAAATCGGGGTAATCTAGTACCTACTTCACAGGCGCTTATGCGCTATAAAGGAATACTTAGTGATGAGCCTAGCACATGGCTGTAGAAAGTGTGGGGGAGGCCAGGTGCGGTGGCTCACGCCTGTGATTCCATCACTCAGGGAGGCCGAGGGGGTGGATCACCTGAGGTGAGGAGTTGGAGACCAGCCTGGCCAACATGGTGAAACCTTGTCTCTACTAAAAATACAAAAATTAGCCTGCTGTGGTGGCGGGTGCCTGTAATCCCAGCTACTCGGGAGGCTGAGCCAGGAGAAGATTGCACCACTGCACCCCAGCCTGGGCGACAGGGATGAGACGCTGTCAAAAAAAAAAAAAAAAAAGGAAGGAAAGGAGGGAGGGAGGGAGGGAGAGAGGGAGGGAGGAAGGGAGGGAGGGAGGGAGGGAGGGCCCTTACTCTTCTCCGAGGAAGATCTCTCTGTGTTCCCAATTCTACCTCCTGCTCGTCCCTCCTGTGCCTGCTGCTCTTCTCCTCCATGCTTTCTTCCCACTGTGGTCTTCCTGTTGTCCTGTGCAAGTCTGGGAGTCATTGGTTGCCTCACTTTACACTTACAGTGCAGACCAGGCCTCTATCTCTGTTTCCCCATCTTGCTTTTGCTCTCCCCACCTCTGCCCAGTGCTCTCTCTGCCTCTGTCTCTCTGTGCTCAGTCCCGCTGGCTTTGGGGAAGGTGGAGAGGCTGCATAGGGAAGTGGCAGATAGGAAGATGCTGGCCTGTGCCCTTGTGTGTTCAAGCAAGTTTCCATGGCTGGTGTGTCTCTTTGTCTGGCTAGAGGGATGGGTTCTAATCTCTCTGCTACTTGTTGGCTGGGTGACCTTAGCAGGTCACTTACCCTCTCTGTGCCTTACTTTCCTAGTTTCTAAAGAGGGTCAGTAACTCCCTCTGCACATCTGTCCTGTGCTTGCCTGTCCCAGCGCTTGCCTGTAGGCATCTCGGCCGGGAGTAGGTGGGTGTCCCCTTTTCATGGGTGCACAAGGCAGGAGTGAGAGGATGTCTGAGGAAACTCGTGTCTCCCCCTGACAATCCAGGATGCGTTAGAGCAAGTAAAACAGAATGTTCAGCAATGGAAGTTCCCATGACCAGATTTCTCATCTAGAAAGCCACCAAGGCTGGGGAAGCAGTGTTCACAGTCCATTATAGACCCAACTCCTTGTTCTACTCCTTCTACTCTTTTCACTACTGCACTTGACTAGTGTTTAAAAAAAAAAAACCTGAGGGAGCAGGACACCTGGGTTCTGGAAGAAACTTGGCTTAATCCACCCCTCCCTTTTGGGCCCACATTCCTGAGCCCTTCGGTGTCAAGAATGATGAAAATTAGCTGCAGTTAATAATTAATCTCTAAAGATCCTTGGGAGGCCCGGGCATGGGTGGGGGCCCAGACACCTGCAGGAGGGACGCCTCCCTGGTCCCCGCTTCCCTCTCCATTTCCCTGTCTGTAGGACCCGCACTCACTCCCTCAAACCTGGAGACACAAGGGAGGGGTGGGACACAGAGTGGAAAAGAGGGGACTTCCTTCTATTTTCCCCAAAAGCACAGTGAATGGTCCTCTCCTGGGTCCTCTCTTACTGGGAGAACTGGAAAATCCAGTTGACCAGATTCCTCCTCCCATTTCCCCTCAAACACTTATGCTAAGGCTTGAGTGGGGTGTAGAAACAGGCCTGTTAAGGAGAGGCCACCGGGACTTCAGTGTCTCCTCCATCCCAGGAGCGCAGTGGCCACTATGGGGTCTGGGCTGCCCCTTGTCCTCCTCTTGACCCTCCTTGGCAGCTCACATGGAACAGGTGAGGGCTAGAGGGCAGGACTCCTGGGTCCCTGTGGCAAGAAGAGGCCAGAGAAAAGGGGTGGGACTTCATGGTCCCTGAGAGTGACAGAGACACCCCAGTCCTGAGCTTCCAAGAGGCTCTGGAGGGGCATTGCTGGGGAAGAGGAACTGTGCCGGGGAGCGTGAGCAGGAAGGTTCTGTGTCTCCGGAGGAATCAGCCCTGACTGCTGGGTCCTAAGCTGTACTTCTGGATCCGCAGGGCCGGGTATGACTTTGCAACTGAAGCTGAAGGAGTCTTTTCTGACAAATTCCTCCTATGAGTCCAGCTTCCTGGAATTGCTTGAAAAGGTAGTTCTTTGGAAGGGGAAAGATGGGGCTGTGTGTTTGTGAGTCAGTTTGGGCCTCTGCTGGGGTCTGGATGTCTCCGTGGTGGGAATGGAGAGCTCTCTTACATGGCGCCCTTTAACCCTTTGTTCCCAGCTCTGCCTCCTCCTCCATCTCCCTTCAGGGACCAGCGTCACCCTCCACCATGCAAGATCTCAACACCATGTTGTCTGCAACACATGACAGCCATTGAAGCCTGTGTCCTTCTTGGCCCGGGCTTTTGGGCCGGGGATGCAGGAGGCAGGCCCCGACCCTGTCTTTCAGCAGGCCCCCACCCTCCTGAGCGGCAATAAATAAAATTCGGTATGCTGAATTCAATAACTTGCTTGACTCTGTGGGTCCCTGAGCACAGAGCTGGCAGGAAGTGGGGGTTGGATGCTCAAGTCTCTGACTGTCCCCCTGTTGAGCAGAGGGTTCCAGGGATGGACAATGTCTCCCTCAACACCAGTGTCACAGGCCTACAAGGCATCTGGGGAGTTGTTTGGGGACACACACACCACACACATATACGCATGCATAGGAACACACACCAAATTGAGATCTTTGGAACACCTGGGAATAAAGAGAAGCAACATTTATTGAAGTCCTGCTTTTCTCCTGCATCCCTATTTCGATGCTTGCAGCAGTCTTGAATGTGGCATACTAGGTATCATTATCCTATTTTACAGATAAGGAAATTGAAGCTCAGAGAGGGCAAGTCACTCACCTGAGATCTAATAGCAGTGGAGAAGTCAGGCACTAGACAGAGGTCTTGGTTTAAGCAAGATTTTTATTTCATTTCCCTTTGCTTAAGCATTGGGGCCAGGGGCTCAAAAACCAAAGAAAGAGACATAGGCAGAACACCCCCAGGACATGGTTCCCCTGGCCCATGGATCCACACAGGTAATTGGGGTGGGAGGTGGGTGGGCACTCAGGTGAGAGATGACGGGTTCAGCTTGTGAGAGGATGCCCAGCCAGGCGCAAGTGCTGGGGAGGAGAGGCCAGGTGCAAGCTGAGCCTGTCCTGGTTAACCATGTGAGTATGAGGTGACACCAGCCCACATGTGAATTCCTGGGCATGTTTCTTATCCTCTTGGAGCCTCCATTTCTTCACTCGCAAAATGGGAACAATGATGGTACCTGCTGTAGTGTGACAGGTCCCCTACCAGGTTACTTAACGGTGTATGCCACTGCCTGAATCCTGAAGGCCAGGTGGCGAGCCAAGGTCACGGTGCCTGGCCGAGGAGCAGGTGTCCCTGAGAACCCAAACATCCCGGAGAGTATCTGGGAACCCACCAAGGAAAACAGTCCATTCGCACACACACAGTCGGCAGAGTCAGAAAATTAGCTTGAAAGCAGCTTTAGCATGGGAGGCAGCACGGATCTCTAAAGCTGTCCTGCTGCCATCCAGGAGTGCCTTGTATGTAAGTCCTAAAAAACTCATCTACTCACCAAGCTGGACTTGTCTGAGTCACTTTTTGGCCTCTCAGCTCCCTCCCAGTTTGGGGGAAGGTTTTTGTTGTTGTTGTTTTGTTTTGTTTTTACACAATTCTGAGTTTTTCTCATTATTCCTGCACCATCAGGTTGTTGTGAGGATCACACAGGGAAGCTACTTAGGGACATATCACAGCCTGTCTTATAGGTCGTCGGCAGGATGGTAGGGATTGCTGTTAGGATGGAAACCTGGTCCCAACATATAACTCCTAGTCCCCTGGGGTTCAGGGTCCTCCTTATGCTGATTTCTGAGGCAGGCACTCCTGACCACCTTCTCAAGATTATCTTGGCCAGGCGCAGTGGCTCACTCACGCCTGTAATCCCAGCACTTTGGGAGGCCAAGTCAGGTGGATCACCTGAGGTCAGGAGTTCAAGACCAGCCTGGCCAACATGGTGAAACGCCATCTCTACTAAAAACACAAAAATTAGCTGGACATGGTGGCATGTGCCTGTAGTCCCAGCTACTTCGGGGAGCTGAGGCAGAATTGCTTGAACCTGGGAAGCAGAGGCTGTAGTGAGCCAAGACCATGCACTCCAGCCTGGACTACAGAGCAAGACTCTGTCTCAAAAAAAAAAAAAAAAAAAAAAAAATTGACTTCTCACCAGCTCTCAAAACACAAACTTGCAGCTCAGACTTGAGCAGTGGGGGGTACTGATAGGATTGCTCTCTGTCCTCTGTGGTACCCACTCTGCCCCCCACACCTACACAACCCTCCATTATCTCCATATGAAATTGGAGACTGACTCCTTTGGAGACAGAAGACAACAAGAGTTCAGTATGGAGCATCACTGAAGATGAGGGGAGCATAGAAAATGGCAGGGTGGAAAAAAAACACTTAAAAAATTGGTCTACCTTCCTTCACAACTGTCCTGGGACAATTAGCCCCCAAGGAGAGGTAGCAGGGGGCTCCAAAGGAGACTAGTATTTTATGACTTGCCCCTAGCCTGCAGTAATGGGCAGGTGACGCCCATGGGGCAGCTGTGAGGATCCCCAAACAAGTTGGGGGACTGGATATCTGAATGTCCAAGAGGTTGGTAGAGCAGACAGCTAAATGCACCTCAACCTGGTTCCTAGACTTCAGGGCCTGAGATCACCAGGATGTGATTTCCAGATTATTTTTCTCAAAGAATTGTCTCCCAAGGCTCAAAACAGAGCAGTGCAGTGAAGAGTGCTTTGGGGTTCACCAGACCTGGGGGTGGCAGAGACTGCTAACTGGCCCCCCTAACAGCCATCCTCCTCCTTTTGGATAGTCATGTAGATTTCAACTCAGCATGTGGATCATTACATTTCCCAGCCTCCCTTGCAGCTAGCTGTGGCCATGTGATCACGTTCTGTCCAATAGGATGCAAGTAGAAAGGAGGTGGGCAACTTTCTGGTAGTATCCTTGAAAAGAAAGGAGCTTCCATTTCAGAGGAGGAAAAGCAAAGTTCTTGAAACAGCCTATAAGGTCTTAGATCAGTGCTTTCCAATAGAACTTTCTGTGATGATGGAAATGTTTTATAACCGTGCTGACGAACATAGTAGCCACTGGCCACATGCAACTACCAAAACACTTGAAATATGGCAAGTACGACTAAGAAACTGAACGTTTTTATTTTATTTAATGCTTTAGGTAGCCAACTGGCTACCATTTTGGACACAAGCCCCAGATTGTCCGCCTTGAGTCTTCCCTACCCCCCACCAATTCCCCACCCTCACCTCTGTTTCTCCACCTCCCACCATCCTCCCCTTCTCACTCTGCCCCACCACACTGGTCTCCAGGCTACTCCTCGAGCTGTCTGACCATGCCTCTATCTGTTTTCCTCTGGCCCTTCCCTTTGTCTGGAACGCTCTTCCTATACCTCCTACAAGCCTTTGCTTAAACCTCACCTTTACAGTGAGTTCTGCCCTGACCCACTATTTAAAAGTACAACCTGCCCCCCGCCACACAAACACATTAGAGTCCCCTTACCTTGTTCTATCCTTTTTCCCTCCCCTGCATTCATGACATTCAAACATAGTATATCGTTCACTCATTTGTATGTTATTTCTGACTGTCCTGCTAGAAGGAAAGTACTACAAGGGCACAGAATTTTGTTTCACTCACTGATGAATCTAAGTGTCCAGAATAAGGCCCAGCCCATCCATAGCAGGTGCTCAAAAAAAAAAAAAAAAAAAAAAAAAAAAACACCTTGCTGAAACAGAGTAAAAAGAAAAAGAAAACTGCCCATCCCCTTCTTTCCCTCCTCCCTCTGGGTGGAAATGCAGACACGGTGATGGGAGCTGGTGCAGACCTTGGACATGAAGTTTGACAATGCATCAGAATGGCAGGAAAATAAGATTGAAGGAGGTGTGGGCTCCCATTATTGCAGATCTCTGCACTACTTATGCCCAGCAGAAGAAACATCCACCTCATCTAAGCCACCATTATATTTGAAGTTTAGTTACAGCAGCCAGAAAGAGCCTGCACCTAATTTATTGGGTTAGGTCCCAGTGGAGACTTTTCTCTGAGCACACGTCTTCATCTCCAAAATGGGGGCTGGGCGCAGTGGTTTATGCTTGTAATCCCAACACCTTGGGAGGCCAAGGCAGGTGGATTATTTGAGCCCAGAAGTTCAAGACCACCCTGGCCAACATGGCAAAACCCTATCTCTACAGAACAATTTTAAAAATTAGCAGGGCAGGGCTGGGCATGGTGGCTCATGCCTGTAATCCAAGCATTTTGGGAGGCCGAGGCAGGCAGATCACTTGAGGTCAGGAGTTCAAAACCAGCCTGGCCAACATGGTGAAACCTTGTCTCTACTAAAAATACAAAAAAAATTTAGCTGGGCGTGGTGACAGACAACTGTAATCCCAGCTACTCAAGAGGCTAAGGCAGGAGAATCACTTGTACCAGAGAGGTAGAGGTTGCAGTGAGCCAAGATCTCACCAGTGCACTCCAGCCTAGGTGACAAAGCAAGACTCCGTTTCCAAAAAAAAAAAAAAAAAAAAAGTAGCAGGGCACAGTGGTGCACACCTGTGGTCCCAGCTACTCAGAAGTCTGAGGCAGGAGGATCACTAGAGCCCTGGAGGTTGAGGCTACAGTGAGCCATGATTATGCCACTGCACTCCAGCCTGAGCAACAGAGCGAGACCCTGTCCCAAAAATAAAGTAAAAATAAAAATCTCCAAAATGGAGCTAACACCCGCCTCATGAGGTTTTCAGTAGGATTAAATGGCATTGTACATCTAGCACCACAGAGGACCCAGCCCAGGACAGGCTACTCAGAGCTGCTGGACAGAATGTACTCTGGGCGTGGAAGGGCCAGGCCCTTGAATTCCATGGAGATGAGATGGTGTTTGGCGTGGGTAAGGTGGCTGGCTGTGCTGTGAATGTGTAACTCAGAGGCTGGGCACTCAGGTGTCAGAGCACAGAAGGTGGGGGCACACCATCTGCAGCACAGCCTGCAGCCCATCAGGTCTGGAGGAAGTCCTACTTCTCTCAGCACCTCTAGGGATACAGCCAAGGAGCGGGGAAGCTTCCATTTAGTGAGAAGTGGAGGAGAAAGAGCCTGCAAAAGCCAGGGCACTGTCAGTTAGTCCAGAAAGTAGGTAGAACCGGAACCACTGTGCCCATACCCTACCCATGACTAGAAAGTTCCTCTTCCTCCAGCGAGGACCCCTCCTCCTCTTTTCCCAGACCAAGCTCTCAGGGGACAACTCAGAAGCACAAAAGTCACCACTGGGAGCAAAGGGGACCAAAGAGCCATAAACAGACATGTTTGGGATTTCAAAAGTTTATCTCAATCTCCTCATTCCCAGACTTCCAGGTGGGAGGCAGGCCGGGCAGTAATGTGAGCATCTCAAGGACACCACAGTCACTGCGACCAAGCCAGTCTGTGTCCTCATTTACACAATGAAGGCGATGGACCACATAGTCTCTGACGTCCCACTGCACCCTGACAGCTGACAAATCTGTTTGTCCTCAAAGACAGGTCTGAGAGGGAGGAAAACTGATGGGGATGATGAGTTAGAGCTCCGGGCTCCCTGGGGCTGGAGGCTCATCCATCAGCTGCCGGAGGTGAGAGGCTGCCTTGTCCAGTTTTGACAATTCCAGCTGGAGGGAAGAAAGCTGGACGAGGAGAAAAGGAGGTGAGGATCCAGGAATGAGGCCCCTCCTGGCCCACATTCCCTCAGGGGTGGAGCCTTCTGGGGGCCTCCCTCAGCCTTACCTTTTGTTGCCTCTGAGTCCCTGCCTCCCCTTCTGATGGGGTCCTGGCTGTGAGGCTGTCAAGCTGCTTCTGCAACTTGTACCTTCGGGCGGCTAACAGAGGTAGCTGGATCTGCGGGTCCACCAGGCCCTGGGGAAGAACAGGGAGAAAAGGCTCAGACATCCGCCTGCTGCCAGGCCTCCATCCTCCATTAGAAGGTCCCTTCCCCTACTTTATAGAGCCCAGCCCCTCCCTTCCTCCCAGCATGCTTCCCAAGCCTGCCCTAACCCTCCCCATCCCCTCTGGTCACCTGCAGCTCCATGTAGACTTGAGCCGTGTCACTGAGTGGAGCCTGGGCCCAGCCGGAGGGAGCTGCTGCGCCTGGGGGTAACAGGCCCACAGCCCCACAGTAGCCCAGGGTGCCCAGGGGCTCCAAGAAGGCCTCGAAGAGGCCCTGGTCCCCAGGCTCTGAGCTCTGCAGCAGCACTGGAAAGAAAGAAACTGTCAGGGGCAAGGCCTCAGCTCCTGCCTCCCTTCCTACCCTGCACCTCCTAACGGGGGGGTTGGCCCTTCAGGCTCTGCTCTTTTCCCCACCAGCCCCCTTTTCCTGCAGGGATCCGAGCCCAGGACCCGCCTTGCCTCACCTCGGGGCCGGGCTTTGGTGAGCTGGTACGTGGCTCGGAGAGCCCTTAGCACCTGCACGACCTCTTGGACCCGGGAGAAGCGCCGCTCCAGCTCTGGCTGGCGCCAGTGCTCCTGGCAATGGGGGGGACCCAGAATTGGCAAAGGGGCTCCTGGGAGACTCAGTACCAACCCTGCTGGCTCTCTTCTCGACCCATCCACCCCATCTCCTTAGGGCAATGAGATCTGTCCTCAGCACCACAGAAAATCCACTATCTCAAGGAACATGACAAAAAGTGAGGCGTCATTTAAGAGGTTTTAGATGATCAGTGTTTGATGCCTGTTTAGTTGCTGTGATTGAAATGGCCAACCAAAAATAAATTAGAATTTAAAATGAATTAGTCAAAACTCAAAACCAAATAAGTATAAATTTAAATAGTTAAATTTTAAAATAATTTTTGGGTGAGTTCATAGCATTTATCCTTCTGAAGTTATTAAAGCTGCACTGAGATTTTGGGGACACCCTATTACTAACTTATCCAACCCTCATCACAACCATAACATATACTATTACTGTTCCTAGTTTAAACATGCGGGAAACTGAGGCTCGATCACACAGCTCAAAAATAGCAGTCTAGCAACAGAGTCCTGCTCTTGAGCACTACGCTAATACTGTCCCTCAAGACCCTAGGGTCATCGCAGCAACCCTGCAGGAACAATCCATCTTCCCCAGGGCTCCACAGTAAAGTACGAACCATTCCTGCAGATGAGCCCCCTGCAGCAAACCCCTTCAGAAGGTGCTCCCCCCCATTCACCCACAGACCCACTCCAAGGTGCTTGGGACTCACCAAGCTGCAGGCGCTGGGGTAGGGGGCAACCGAGATGCTGGGGGCAGGGGGGCAACCAGGCCTGGGGGGCAGCCTCTGCCAGAGCTCTTCAGCCAGGAAGGGCATCAGTGGGGCCAGGAGGCGGAGGCCGAGGTCAGCGCAGGAGAACAGGACCTGAGGGGGCCCCAGGGGGCGGGGCGAGTGCCACAGCACGGGCTTCACAGCCTCCTGGAGAGGAAGCCAATGGTCAGAGGACAGGTCCAGGGCCACAGCCCTCCTCCCTACAGCCACTGCTACCCGCCAGTGGGGCAGGCCATGGGTCCTGGGAGAGAGGGACAGGCAGAAGCACTTAGCACTTCTGATATGATCCACAGTCCCAGGACACACTCAGCACAAAGAAGGGGACTCCAGGACAGCAATTCTCTGCAGTACACAGGGACAGGATTTCCAGGGAAACATGTAGTTTAGGGAAAAAAATCATTGAGTTTTTTGCTTATCAACAGGGGACAGAGGTTTTTAAAAGGCTGAGCTAGGGCAGTGGTCCACAGCCAGCAGCAGCAGCACCACTTGGGACAAGAAATGAATATTCATTACACCACCCACCCCCACCCCAACCTGCTAAAGGAGCCACTCTGGGGTGGCAGTGGAGCGGGGGGGATCCACGGTCAACAAGCCCTCCAGGTGCTTTGGACGTAGGACAGCGTGAGAACCCCTGGTCTAAAGACCGCTGCTAGTCCCTCCCAGGCCTCTCTCAGCACGCAGCCTGCCCATGGGCCAAACTCAGCAACTACAGGGACTGAAAAAATTCCCCTCTGCCTTCTGACACCGACTTGTCAGACATTTCTAGAAGTCTCCCTCCTCCTCCTCTCCCCAGGTGACAGGCAGGCAACAGTGCCTGGGCTGCACTGCCAAAACCAGTCCCAGGAAGAGGGGAACTGAGACTCCCTCGTCTCCTCTCCTCTCCTAACTGAGGGGACAATTGGGAACTTATTAACTCCAGAGCTCTCTGCCTTGGAAATTTCCAGAGGAATTAGAAGCAGGCATGGGAATACCAAGCCTCCCCCAGCCTCACTCACCAGGTAGACGTCACAGAGGTTGTGAAGCCAGAAGTGGTGCAGGGCATGAGTGACGAGCGAGAGCTCTCGGGTGAGGAAGCCCCGCTCACACTCCTGGGCAGCCAGGGCAAGGCGGCTCAGGATCCAGGCATCCATCGGGGAGGAGGGAGACAGCTGCAGGCAGAGGGGGCAGGATGGCCTGACTCCCCCTCCCCTGCCTCCTTTCCTTCCAGATGCCACCTTGGCCCTCTGACACCTGACTACCCTACTCCCAAGCACCTCTGTTTTCTCTTACCTCCTCAGCAGGCTGTGGCACAAATTTCTCCCCTAAAGCATTGAGGATAAAGCGAAGAGCATTCCAGATCTTGTTGCAGAAATGTCGGCAGCTCTGGACCTCAGAGACTGACAGGTGCAAGTCGCCCGCTGGAAGGGAAGAATCGAGGTAGTCTGCATGTAGGTGGCAGCAGCACCAGAAGTCCTGCCCCTGCCCTGCCCCTGCACAGGTGCCCGCTGCCCTCTGCTCACCCCGACACCCCTCGCCCAGGCTTACCCTGAACTCCATGGGAGCAGAGTGTGAATCTCAGGGCATCTGTCCCACACTCAGGGATCCCGTGAGGAAAGTCCTTTTTCTGCAACCAGAGGAAGAAGAAGGGTGGCAGATGCCTTTGTGGCTGCAGGGCCAGGACCTGGGTTGCAGAGGAAGCCAGAGGTGGTGAGCTAGAGCTGGTGGGGGGCAGGCAGCGATGACTCACCTGTGCTGCAGCCACAATGGCCAGCTCTGCAGGGTCCAAATTTCCGCTTCTCAGCTTTTCCTGCAGCACCTGGGGATGGAAGGGGGCAATTCACGACCCAGGTCGAAGGCCCTGCCTCTATAAGGGTCACACCTGCTGGCCTCACTCCTCCCTCAGCCTGCCTTCCTCTCTCCTGCAAACCCTGCAAACCTTGTCCCTCTAGTGGGTGCTTCGTCCTCACCTGCATCTCCACCCCACTGATGATGTCTCTTGGGTCCAGCACATTCCCCAGGGACTTGCTCATCTTCCGGCCCTGCCTGTCCCGAACCATGGGATGAAGAAGCACCTGGGGGCAGGGAGGGGTCAACAGAGGGGGGTTTCCTTGGAGGTGCCTTGGGATCTCTGGCCTCCATACTTTTGGGGGTAGGGTAGGAAGTGAATTAGGAAAAAGGAATCAGCAACGTGGAAAGGACCACATTAGGGGTTAGAAGGGAGGACAAGGTTTGGGGAACACTGGAGTCACAGAAAGCGGCAGGGCACTGAAGGGCTCTTACCTTGCTGAAGGGCAGCTGCCCTGTGAGCTGGGTCCCCAACATGACCATGCGGCCCACCCAGAACAGCAGAAGGTCGCTGCCCGTTTCCAAAAGTGACAGGGGGTAGAAACGAGCAAGGTCTGGGGTCTAGGGGGAAGAGGAGCAGTAAGAGGCCCAGGCCCCAGGCCCCCCTCAAGCCTCTGTGGGGGCCCAGCCATCCCTTCCTTATCGTTTCCCCTTCACTTTCGCCCTCTCAACCCACCTCACCTCTTGGGGCCAGCCCAGGGCAGAAAAGGGGAACAGGGCAGAAGAAAACCATGTGTCTAGGACATCAGGATCTGGGAAACAGAAAAAGAATGGGGACAGTTGGAACCTTGGCTTCTAGGACCTCAGACCACTGCTGCCACCATTCTAGGCCAACCCCCACCCCCAGAGACCAGGGCTGTCCCCTTTGGCTCCATTCCCAACTTTCCTGACCCTACCTTCTGTATCTTGGGATCTGTTCCCCTCAAAGGCCCAGATGCCCAGGCCCCCGCTCCCCTGTACATCCCTCCCCAGCTCAGGCACTCACCCCTCTCCAGGGTCAGCTCTGCCCCTGGCCTCCCTGTCAGTTCCGCTGCTACCTCTCTGGCCTCAGCCTCTGACCGCCCAACCACCCAACAGTCCTCTTCTCCCTGCAAAAGTAGGAAGGGGTTGGGGAGAGTGAGGAAGAACAGCTGACAGGTGTAAATGTCACTTGGTTTTCACGTCCTCATGTGGTCTTAGAGTGGCCAGGTTCCCCCAGGGGTGAGATAAAGAAATGCCACTTCAGGGAGCCTTGATCGCGCAGAAGGTTACATGACTATGAGCATGAAGCACATGACCAGGCAGGAGCGGGACTTGGCCCTGCGGAGCTCTGACTCCTGGGCTAGGTGCTCTGTGCCACACTCGGCCCTCCGGGTGCTTCTTCCTACCCACCTGCGCATGGTCCTCTACAACCAGGTAGGCTGGAATCTGATGGCCCCACCACAGCTGCCGGGAGACACACCAGTCCCTGCCGGGAGGACATTCGTGAAGTCTTAGAATAACCAGTCAGTCCCCCCTCCCCATCTCCACAAGAGCTCCCCTTACCCTACCCTTACCCAATATGGGAAAACCAGTGCTGCCAGTTCTTCTGGTGGAAGGAGGGACTGAGCTCCAGGGCCCCCGACTCCACAGCCTGGAGAGAAAGGGGACTTTAGACAATGTTGCCCTTCCTGCACGGCCGCACCTCCACAGATAGGACGAGTGGCCTCTGAGGTCATTTTAAAACTCAGAAAGGACCTCCCAAGCCTCTTGCCAAGATTCTGGGCTTGAGTAAGGATATGAGCCAGCCCTTGCTGGGCCGCCCAGCCTCCATCCCACACATCCTCTCAGTTACCACAGCTGGAGAGGTCTTCAGGGCAGGAGGTCTCCTGCTTCCCATTTCTTCATTCCAATTCTCAGGGAGCTCCCCCAACCCCTGGCCCCAGTCCTTCCTACACTGCAGCCTCACCTTGGCAGCTCGGGCCCCCATTTCCTGGCAGCGGACAAACCACTGGTTCTTCAGCAGGTATTCTATCACATCCCCAGAACGGCTGAAAGAGAGACAGGGTGAGTCCACTGCTCTTCCGGCCCTGTGACTTCTCCCAGGGGCACAAGACCCCATGCCATGCCAGGCCCTTGGTACTGAGGATACAATAGCGAATAAAACCGACACGGAGCTCGTATTCTAACGGAGGGGTGCAGAGCCCATCCTATTGTCACCCTTAAGCTCCATACATTCCCTTTTGGGGTAGCCCTTAGTAAAGGAGTTAAAATGAGGTTACCTGCAGATGGGCAGTACCATGGGGTGGTTCTGGAGGCCCCGGAACAGGCCCCATTCACTCAGCACAGACATTATCTTTTCCCGGGCCACAAACCGGTGAAGACCCTGGAGAAAAAGCGGCAAGAGTAAAGACTGAAGGCCTCTAGAGAAATAAGAAACTAGGAGGA
The DNA here is from genome assembly GCF_000001405.40 of Homo sapiens. NCBI lineage: Eukaryota > Metazoa > Chordata > Mammalia > Primates > Hominidae > Homo > Homo sapiens. The sequence continues at coordinate 2,230,508 of NT_167246.2, read as the reverse complement.
GGATTAGGGGGACAGAGAGCCCCCAAAGGATGGGGTAACATAGGGTGGTACCACCTGCAGCCAGTCCCCGCAGAGGGAGGTCATGGTCCCATCCTCCGCAATGACATTCAAGGGGCTCAAGCCATGTCGGGCCCCCATCTCAGCATCGGCAGGACTGTGAGCTGGAGTCACCTTCACTGCCCCTTGGGGAGCACAGCCATGGTGAGTACTGAACCTGACCTTGGCTTTTGCTTTTCCAGATGTATCATCATCACCTGCACCGCCCCAGCCCCTGCGACTTTCTCTGTCTGTGCCTCCCTCCCATTCCCCACTCAGACCACCCTATATGAGGATCTCCCACTCCCACCTTCCTCTTCCTCCTGGTTCCCTCCCCTCTCCTCCAGGACCCCCAACTTTCTCTCCCTCCCCTGACTTCCACTCACCCGTGCCCACATGTGGCTGAACAGCATAGTCTGTGATGAGGGGAAGAGGCTGCCCCATCAAGGGGTGACGAAGCTGTCGCCCGTGTAGATGCTGAAGGGAAGGGAGAGGGATCAAGGACAGGCACCTGTGAGGGTTGGAAGGGTCTGGGCTGGGGCGTGAGAACCCCAGGAATAAGAAGGTAGAAAGTGGAAGGTAGCAAGCTAGAGCAAGGTCAGCAAACTCTTAAGGGGCCAGAATGTAGATATTTTAGGCTTTTGGGCCTAGAGACAAATTCATTCTCAGCACAATTACTCTATTATGCCACTGCAGCAGAGCTGGAGAGGGTATATAATAGCAGCCATAGATAATATAAAGGCTGCAAGCAGCCAGGCGCGGCGGCTCACGCCTGTAATCCCAGCACTTTGGGAGGCCGAGGTGGGCAGATCACGAGGTCAGGAGATCGAGACTATCCTGGCTAACACAGTGACACTCCGTCTCTACTAAATAACATTACTTAAAAATTACATTACTTAAAAAAAATTAATTACTAATTTTTGTAAAAATACAAAAAATTAGCTGGGTGTGGTGGCACGTGCCGGGCATGGTGCCACGCTCCCAGCTACTCAGGAGGCTGAGGCAGGAGAATTGCTTGAACCCAGGAGGTGGAGGTTGCAGTGAGCCAAGATCACACCACTGCCCTCCAGCCTTGGTGACAGAGCGAGACTCTGTCTCAAAAAAAAAGGCCGCAAGCTGGATTAGGACCATGGGCCAGTTTGTCAACCCCTGAGCTACAGAAAAACTATAAGAGGAGGAGGGAGTCCAATCAGAACCACTGAGAGAAGTCTCAGGAAAAGGAAGTAGAAGCAAGAGAGAAAGAGCCACCATTTAAAACCCAAGAGAAGAGAAGGCCATTGGCGGGGCGGGCCAGAGTGCAGGAGCGCACTGGGTATTACTGTGTATCGCGAGTCGTCTGGATGAACGGCCACAGCCACATCTCCAGGCAGCGTCTCTGGCCTTGTGGTTCCTACCACAACCTCTGCATCTGAAGATAAACATTTAAACACTTACAGCTGGTCATCATCCTCACCTCTCACTGCCAACATAGCTAAAGGCAGTAGAACTGGAAAGGGGAAGGGGCAGGGAGTAGTCAAGGTGGAAGAGGCCCCCAGGAGTGACTAGAAAAAAGTAGGAGCAGTGTTTATAGGAACCCAGGGTTTCCCATAAGCTGATGACCAGAGGTCTGAGAGGGTCTCTGGTGCTAAAGAATTCCCTGATAATTTGCATGGAAGAAATGGGGGCAGCATTAATTAAAGCAACTATAATAGAATTCTTGCTGGGTGCCCAGAGGACACTGGGGATTCTCAGTGTCCTAATCACAAATGCTGTACATTCCTCAGGGGGAGCACCAGCTCCTACAAGAAGCTTCCACTGACAATTCCAGCTCATCTGTCTTCCCTTTCTCTGAGCTCTTCAGAACATTTACCGTAAAAACCACACCTTAGAGGCCAGGTGCAGTGGCTCACGCCCGTAATCCCAGCACTTTGGGAGGCCAAGGCGGGCAGATCACGAGGTCAGGAGTTCGAGACCAACCTGACCAACATGGTGAAACCCCGTCTCTACTAAAAATACAAAAATTAGCCAGGCCTGGTGGCACGCGCCTGTAATCCCAGCTACTCAGGAGGCTGAGACAGGAGAATCGCTTGAACCTGGGAAGCAGAGGTTGCAGGAGCCGAGATCGTGCCATTGCACTGCAGCCTGGGTGACAGAGTGAGACTCTGTCTCAAAACAAACAAACAAACAAACAAAACAAAACATACCTTAGAACTGATCTCTTTCCTGGGTAGCGCACTCCTGAAGAATCACACCACACTCTCAAAGGGCAGTGACCACATGCACTTTTTGTACATCCCCCAGAAGACCCTGGGTAAGTGCCCACGCTGAGGTGAACACTACCAAGGTACATGTGAGAGATGGACTGATGGGTTCCTAGCAGCCCAACATGGGCTTCAGAAAACAGGAAAAATGGAGGTAAACGGGTGACCCTGCAGAGTACTATGCTCACCAGGCTCTCCATCCACGGGGAAGGCAACAGAAAATAGGAGGCCAAAAGACACGGGGGTGGGGCAGCCAGGCAGTCGAAGCTGTGTGTGGCCAGGCAGGGGCCGGTTCTCCACCTGGAGGCACCGAGAAAGCTGGGTCAGAGGGCAGCCTTTCTGCAAGGCTCATGCCCAGGCTTCACTCTGCCACTCATCCATCTGCCCAGCCTCCCTGCAATCCATCTAAAAGCCATTTGGAGGATTCGGGAGCTACCTCCCTCTGCCCTCACCCAATGCTCGTGCAGTCACACTTCTAATAAATATTCACTGAGCACTTAAGCCATGGCCAGGTATCTTGCCAAGCACCTATGTGAATTCTCATTTAATTTTTACAACACCCCCACGATGCAAGCATTCCATCATCTCTAATTTACAGACTGAGGAAGCTGAGGCTTAAAGAGACTAAACGGCCTGCCAAAAGCCACACAGCTGTAACAGGCAGGCATCAGATTTGAATCCAGGCACCCTGGCTCCAGAGTCTGAGCTCTTAATCATTGACCACTCTGCCTCAGAGCTCTCACAAACCTGCTTCCCTCTCTCCGCCTCACCTCAATGTCCGAGATGGCTGATCTTAAAGCACATGACCAGTTGACAAGCTGATGGTTCCGGTACAGCAACCCCGCCTTGTAGAGCCGCACAAAAGCTTCAGTCACAGCCACTGAGGAGCCCTGGAATGACCTGAGTGTCCACCTCTAAGAGCCACTTCTCAGCCCATCACCCTGCTCAGGGACCCAGGCATTGCTTCCTCCCTGCCCCACACAGATCCCTAAACATCGCCCATCACTCACAGGGACCAAGGCACAGAACACTCACAACATCCATGGTAAAACACTCTCGATCCCAGTCCAGGGAGGCACCCAGAGCTCGCAGCTGCTCACAGATCTCTCCACCTTTCCTGTGCCCAGAGAGATCCTTGTCAGCAAACACTTCCCAAGCACTTCCTATGTACCAGGCCCAGCGATGCCCCCAGCAATGCCAGGTGTTGGAGGAAAATCAAGTGAGGATGGCATTGATCTAGCCTCTAGAGGCTAATAGAAATGGACTTACAAACCCAGTATGGGGTTTTCTAAGATATTAAAAGAGGCAAAAGATTCTATAGGAAGAGAGGAGGGATAGCCATATTGTGGGAAATCCAAGGATGCTTCACAGAGATGGCATGAGATAACAGACCCAGAAGAATGAGGGTAATTCCATGGGAATTGAAAGGTGGGAATGGGCGAGTGGAAGAAGGTGAGATTTAGACAAGAGAAATTGGGGTAAGTAAAGAGAAAGAAAATATATATATATATATAAATACACACACACACACACACACACACACGAATATTCTAATGCATATATAATATCCACACACATAAGGCTTAGAAACTCCACCAAATGTTAACAGGCTCCAGAGCTTCCATCTCTGAGGAAGTCAGAGCTGTGTCGGGAAGAGCCAAGGATTACAAGTCAGGAGTGATAGTGGTGGGAGGCAAGAAACCAAATCTGCCATCTGGGCCCCCCGAGTCCTGCCCATCATACTCACGCCTCCTTCCACTGCCACACCTCCCTAAGGAAGGCCTCCCGGCTCAGCTCATGTCTCCTCACTCCCCGTTCCTTCCACAGTTGTTTCTCCACCACAGCCTGCAGTTGGATTCAGGGCAAATGAACAGAGTCAGGTTGCTTGGTTGCTTTGGGGGAAGAAATTGCTTTTGCCCAAGAAAAGGAACAGGTAACAAAAGACATACTTGTGTAGCAATTCCTGCATGATCTGAACCAGGGACCCACAGCACTTGATCCCCACGCATCCGGTGCCTGCAACAAAAATGCCCTCCTGTGAGCCCCTGAGCTTAAATGTTTATCCTCACTCATTCCTGCCCTTCCTATTTCCCTTCCAAGAACTCAAGCAGCCCCCACTCCCCTCTCACCAGCGCACGAGGGCATCCTGTATGGCCACCGTGAGTGCGTGGCCAATGTGCAGGGAGCCAGTGACATTGGGAGGTGGGATACACATGGAAAAGGTCTCCCCTGTAGCTTGGGGCAGCCGGGCCTAGAGGAAGAAAAAAAGTCAAAGGGGCAAGAGAGAATTGGATTGGGGAAAGAGCACCCTCTACTGTCTCCAGAACAGAAAGAACTTCAAGGAAGAACTGTCCTGCAAATAAGAGGAGAGTGGAGAGGAGGGAATTGGCCAGGGGGAACCTGCCAAGAGAAATCTTTGGAGACACCAGAGCCAGAAAGAAGACAAGGTCTACAATGTGAGCTCAACTCTGAGGTCCAGTTGTATTCAAGGGCCACTCTGTCCTGGAGACAATTTAGGACCCCTCCCTGCCAGATACTAACCTGATATTCTGGTTTGAAGAAGCCCTCTCGTACCCACCACGGGTACCAGGCAGCCTCAACATATCGGGGGCTGTATGCAGGAGGCAGGGGCCCAGAGACATCTGTGAAGGCAGAGGAGAGCTCCACTAACCACTGAACTTGTTCCCAGGCTGCATTTCGGCAGGCCAAATGGGCAACACATATGTGAAAGAAAAGGCCTTCTTACTTATTCTACTTACCTTTCTTTTCACCGGGTTTCGTAGGGATTTCATACAATACTAACTCCTTAGGCCTCCAGGCCTTAATGGATTCTGCAGGTGACTGAGAAGAGAAAGCAGAAGAGGCTGGGATCCAGTATACCCCAGACTGCATTTCAGCCGGTCTCCTCCAGCCCCTCTCAAGTCTCAGAAACCCAAGGACAAGCTGTCTGACCCCTAACCTTGCTCTCCCCTGCTATCTCAGCCTCCAGAGTCGCCTGCTTCTCTCGCAGGCGCTTCTGTTTGGCTTCACGGTTCCTCCGGGAGATGGGAGATCCATGGGGCTCCGACTGTGTAGAAACGGAGTGAAACCTGGGGAGGCCCCGTGAGTGCCTCAGCCCCCAAAATGGTGGTCGAAAAGAGGCGAGAGGCAAATGAGGCATCAGGAGTGTTTGGAAAGGGGCCGAGATCTGTTCTGGATAGAGAGAGAGCACATTAGGATATGGGGGTGGAGAAGGGTCACTCCCCTTGTTCCATCTTTCCTGTCTCTAATTAGCACAGGTCTGTTATTCCAAGTCTCTATTCCCTTCCACAAAACCTTTCCTCCTTGAGAGCTAGAGTGCATGGTATCGACAGACAGCGCCATGGAGCCACGGATATCAGGGCTCTTCCGGAACAGGGCCGGAGTGTCTGGATTCGGCGGTGACCACTGACACATGAGAGATAGGGCTCAGAAACTCAGGGAGATGATGGGCATCAGCGCGCCCAAGAGCCAGCAAGGAGTCCCGCCAGGGCCGCGGCGATCTCCACCTGCACAGGGGCCTCCTGCAGTGCCCACAGCCCGGCGCGGCCAAGCCTTCCCGCCCATCCCAAGGCCTGGGCCCAGGACCCGCAGCGTCTCCCACTTCCCGGAGGCCGCCCCGGCGCGCGCTCACCAGGAGGCCCCGCCGCTATCCCAGGGCGCCCCGCGGCGGCAGGGACTGAGGAATCCACCAAACCCGACCCTGGAACGTGGCCCTGGAGCCGCGCGGCGCATGGGGGCGGGGCCCCGGCCGGCGCATGCGCAGCAGCTGGCTTTGGCCCCACCCTCTCCCTACCGGTCCAAAGGCTGTAGACCAGAGGAGCGAGTCCGCCGCGAAGGCAAACCCCACGGGGAGGCGCCCGGGACCGCACTGCTAGCTATCATAACTTTATTAAACAAGAAAAGCCCTGACGCGTAAATAAAAAACACCTGAGTTCTGATGCCCCGCCCCGCCCAGTCCCGCCCGCCGAGGTCCGTGTCCAAGTCCCGCGCTCTCAGGAGCTATGTTTCTGCCGCTTCCAAAAGCGCTTGACGTCGCTGTGCCCGGCCGGGGTCACCACCATGAGCCGCTTGGCCGAGTTCTCGAACACGAGCACGCCCAGCTCCCGCGCGTGGGCCAGCAGCAGCTCAAAGTCCACTTGCGACAGGAACTGGTTATACAGGACACCTGGGGTCGGCAGGACGGGAGGGGCGCGGGGAGAAGACGAGAAAGTGAAGCTCGGAGCTCCTATTGGGAATCCCCCCAGCTCCTTGGTGGCAGCCCTGGACGCGGTCTGGGCTTGCCCCCACCGCAATTTTACAAACTAATTCTCTATGCTTGTCTGCTCAGGGGTTCATCTTAACACCAGTGTGATCCAGCCATATTCAGAAAGGCCTAATACAAATTACTGTGAATTATTCCCTCACCTAGCCAAATCCAAAGTGCATTGATTTGGGACGATTTGTTTACTACCGACTCACCCCAAAACAACAAAAAACTGTCTTGCCAGCTTTTCTCTCCTAGTCCATGAAGTAAAAAATAAAATGCAGACTGAACTGTCTGCCCTTTCTCTGGCCAATGACCAAGACTTGGCCACCAGAAGCTACTCACCCTCAGTGAACCGGAGTCTGTCCCTTTCCAGCTCCCAGAGCCGGATCTGGTCGGTGATGGTGGGGGGCAGCACAGGTGTCTGCAAGGAGCAAGGGTTGACTGTAGGGACTCAGAATACTGCCCCAGACAACCCGGCCCTCTGTTTCTTCCCCAGATTTGGATGCCCCTTTTTCTTTTCCATCATGTCATCACCAGCTGCCAGCCTCTGACATCTTGGAGCCTGTCTATACCTGTTTGAGCATCACTGGGTGGGCTCTTGTCCTTAGGAAATGGATTATCTAGGAAAACAGACAAGAATGGCATGAGGGCTCCAGCAAGAAGGCAGGAAAGCCATCTGAGCTGTCACCTAATGTCACTGGAACATCAGCTTATTCTAAAAACTCATAACTCCTGTCATCAACTCCACCCATCCCAGTTCAGCTGTTATCCCACGTTGCTGCTCCCAGCAACGTGGGATATTCCTTTTCTGGCACATTCGCCCTTTCCAGTAATGTTTTGTTTTTCTTTCTTTAAAATAGCAGCAGCTACTATTTTCTTTTTTTAGCATTTATTGCATGACAGGTGCTGAGCTCAATGCTTTGCCCCTATTCTTCCAATGAATTATCCCGGCAACCCTGAGGTAAGAACTGTCATTTACTAGATGAGGAAACTGAGGCTCACAGAGGCAAAACAACTATGTCTAGTTTACGCAGTTAGGATGTGGCAGTGCCGAGGCACAAATCCAGATCTATACCTCCTCCCTCCATGTTTTTTTCCCCTCAAGGGTCTACCTATTCTCACACCCAAAGCCTTCATTTCTCTTCAAACACAGACAACTCACCACCACCTATTATAACAGACTCAGAGCTAGCCTTCCATAATGTGACCCCTGTCCCCCGCAGCCCAAGTGCAGCCTGTCTTCCTGCTCCACCTCTCCCAAGTGGGAATACCTGCTGGGCTGTGATGCCACTGGCGATTGCCTGCTGCACACTCTCCCGGGTCACCTGCGCCACCACCATGTTGGGGAACCGATAGAGCATCTCAGAGAAGAGGGCAATGAGGGCAATCTGCAGCTCCGACTCTGAGCCAGGGATAGAAAGAGGATGAGGAGGCCACCCCCACACCCAGACTCCCTCAAGCCCTTCTTTCAAGTGTCATGAGAAATGTCAGAGAGCTCTGTAGACTGCCAGGTAAACACGAACATAAACTGGCATTCCCTCACCCCCAACCTCCTCTTCCAGGGGCCCTCTGTCCCGCCTCACCCGTGTAGGCATACAGTCGGTAATTGGTTTCCACGACAATGAAACCTGGCTGATGCACAGTGCCCCCAGCTCCAGAGACACCTGATGAGAGATTGATGGCCAGGCGTGTGGGGTAGTAACGCCGAGATTTCCTCTGAAAAGAATAGAAAGGCAGATGCCTTGTCTCAGAAGTCACTGCCTTACATCTTCCTGCCTGAAATATCAGATCCCTCCCAAGATGCAGAACCTCAACCCCCAACTTCTCTCCCCCGAGAGACCCAAGTATTCAGTTCTGGCAACTGCTTCCTGCTACTGCCCCAAGACCCCACTCCTTTTTAAAGGCAAAGGCAACACACCACCCTGTTTCTTCCCTGGAAGCCACTTATCTAGGCGCTCATACCTTCCTCTGGAAAACAAGCCCAAACTCACGCAGATGTTGCAGGAAGTTCAACAGAGAATCACTCATACCTTCCACAGAGTAATCCTGAGGAACAGAGGTTTCCAGCTGGGGTCCAAAACACAACCCACCCACCCCCAACCCCATACATTCATTCTTTCTTTCTCCATCTCTGTTCGTTCTGTTTTCATTCTTATCTTCTCAGTCTACTCTACTGCCCCACAACTTGCTTTCCCCTTCCCATCTCTATACCTTTCAGCCCCCTGCTTACCTTGCCCAGAGTAGAGAAGCTGAGCTGGAAGAGGAAGGAGAGAATCTCTACCAGGTCCATGCCCCGGCTCTAGGGAGAAAGAGGCAGAGACAAAGGAGGAGGGATGGGAGGGAGACAATGGGAAGAAAGGGACAGAGAAGAGAAAATCAGGGAACAGTCTGTAGGCAGGAGTCTCTCAGTGAGACCTGAGAGGAGCAGAGCATGCTGGTTAAGTGGCCCTGCCTCCTCACCTGGGCTGTCTGCAAATACTGCAACATAAAGTACCAGAGCTGAGCCGGGGTGTCCAGCAACAGGAACTGGAAGCCAGCGGAAGTAATGCAGGGCGGCTCTCCAGGTTCAGTACTAGAGACAAAGACCAGGACAATGATGGTGATATGCAGAGAAAGACTACTATCCCCACTTGTCCACTCACGTTTTTTCTTGGTATCTCTGGCTATATTCTACTCAGCTTGCCTTTTCCAGCTAATGTCCTCTGATCTTGACTAGCCCCAGATACCATTTCTTAGGGACCCAAGGAGATGGCACAGCAGAGAGCTGCTGTACCTCCGGCTTCCTCACCTCTTCATGAGCCCAGCCTGGCTGAGGAGCTGAGCCAAGTCCTGGCTGACAGCTGCACTGGGGGAGCCCACCATGAAGTGCAAGACCACCTGAAGAACAGAAGAGAACAGGGAGACCATGCCCCAAGGGCCATGGGAAGTAGAAGCACAAGCAGAGACACACACACTCCCAAGTGCTTACCTCCCATCGCTCCTCGGCGTACTTGTCAAGGGAGGGAACGTCCCGGGCATGCTTGTCTGGTCCCAGCTGACTTGTGTCATCAGACCAGGCCTTCCCCCTACGGCCAGGATGGGCCAAGAGTAAGGAACCCTGGCCAGGCGCAGTGGCTCACACCTGTAATCCCTGTACTTTGGGAGGCCGAGATGGGCGGATCACTTGAGGTCAGGAGTTCAAGACCAGCCTGGCCAACATGGCGAAACCCCATCTCTACTAAAAATACAAAAAATTAGCCTGGCGTCGTGGTGGGTGCCTGTAATCCCAGCTACTCAGGAGGCTGAGGCAGGAGAATCACTTGAACCCAGGAGGTAGAGGCTGCCGTGAGTCAAGATTACACCACTGCACTCTGGCCTTGGTGACAGAGTGAGACTCTGTCTCAAAAACAAACAAAACAGAACAACAAAAAAAGAGTAAGGAACCCTGTCTGTGTTCCTTGCTGCCCTCTGCCATCTTTCCACCCTTATCCTCAGGGGCCATGAGTGGGGGACATTTCCTACACCACACACTACATCTGGTCCAACTTACTCCTAAAGGAGTTCCCAACGTGGAGACCACAAGGTTCTGGGGAGGCCCCCAGGAGCTCCCCCTCCCAAAGTTTAATTAGTGGTTTAATAAGCAGCAGTTCCCCTGCCCTAGCTTAGGAAGAGAGAGAAGTGACATACCCACCCAGAAGGGCAATGCGGAGGTTCTGGCGGAAAATGGGGTTGAGGATGAGGCCCTGGAGCCCGCCTGGGAGCAGCTGTGTGTGCCAGATCCGGAGGCCGCTCAGCAGCCCTGTACTTTCCTCCTGAGCCCTGGAACAGAAGCAGAGAGGTGAGTAGGGTATTTGGAAAACAAAAAGGAGGCCCATAAAAGCCACCATCTCTGCCTGTTCTGAACTTGCTGACCCTTGGAACACTGTTCCACAGAGTGAAATTAGTATCTTCCTAAGACAAATTCTTTACTGCATTACTTATCAGAGCCTCATTACAGATATCACACATAACTCTTTAAGAGGGAAGATACATTTGAAAGCAAGATCTCAGCTGGGAAATAAATAAAAGGGAAAAGGCAATATGCAGAGTTTCCCAAATGTATTTATTTTTAAGTTTTGTGATATATCTATTAACACTTCCTGGAAGTGCTCCAAGGAACAGCAGTTTGGGAAATGTAGCTGTTGAGAAATTTGTATCTGGCTGAGACTTACTTGCTGAATTCCTTCTTTACCCACAGAGCTACAGCAGCCTGTGGCAAAGGCTGCTCCAGAAAGAGCATCCGCATCACCCAGTTCTTAGCCAAGGATGGGAGCTCCCTGTACAGGAACAGAGGTCAAAGGTTAGTATCAGAAGCTGCATTGTATCTGCATCTCTGCCCTCAATTACCTCTCAAACATCTCATCTCACTCCAGCACAACTTTACCAGTCCTGCTGTTTTGGCCTCCACACTTTAGAGCAATTTCCAACCCTTGCCCCCAGTCCCCACCCCGACTCCAGGCTGCTACACTTTTACCTATGATATTTTATTCCACTCCGCAGACCCCATTACATTTCCCTGCCATGAAGGGGCTTCTCACCTGAAGACAGCCAGACATGTGGCAGGGTGCCCATACAATCGGTCCAATACCCCAGGGCTCAGGCCCCCTAAGAATTCCTGCAGATTCCTGCATTGTAGGTGTACTCGGTTCAGTCCCCTTGAAGGGGTGCTCTCCATCACCTGAGGAATGCAAACGTCAGAAGTGCAACCTCACCATCCATGCCAGTGTCACCCCTGACCTTTCTAACTGATTCCAGATCCATCAGTCCCCACAATAACCCCACCTTTTCTGTGGTCTCCTTTCCCATGTCACTCATCTCCTCTGGTTTCTCCCAAACCTGACCAATCTCCCTCCCTTTCTTGCCTCCTCACCCTATTTCTGCCCTTCAACTCCAGTCTTCCCTCAATTACCAAGTGACAGAATTGTTAACTGTCCAGTGTTTGCAAGATCATTTTGTATTTCAATGACTTGTCTCATCTTTGGCTAAACAGGGACAAAGAAAATTGAGCCCACACCTCTCTCTTCCATCCCATCCTGGTCAGACCAGTCTACAAGCTCCAAATCTGCCCGTCCTTCCTATCTTCTATCTCTTAGCCCACTTCTGCTAAGTACGGCGGTAACCTCTCCCCTCCATGCTTCCCAAATCTAAAGCCACCTCTTTTCCCTTCCCAAGTCTACTTCACGTCATTCACCCTGACCCACGCCTTCCGATCTCCTAGCTTCTCCCTGCCTTCCTCTCACTCTTCGCCTCCCACTCACCTCTCTCTCTCTCATACCTCTGCCACTCCCGCCCTCCTAGGTCCCCTCACCACTCTGTCGATCCTCCTCGCGCACCCCGAGTCTCGGGCCGTCGCTTAATCGGAGCCAAAGTCTCGCATTGGCTCCTGGAGATTGAGGGAAAGATGGTGAAAAAATGCGAGGAAAAGATGGGGAAAGCAAAGAAAGATTTCACAGGCAAGAGCCCAGAATGGAGAATTCAGAAGAGAAGGGAGGTAAGGGGAGGAGTGGAAAAGTGAAGAGGATGAGAATAGACGCTGCACTCTCCGGGCGCGGGGGATGCTGGGAATTGGAGTCTTGCCTTTGCTCTCCTTAGAGCCGGCTGAAGCGCGTCTGACTACAAATCCCGAAAGGCACCGTGGGGAAGCCGAAAGGAGAGGAGCTGGCTTTTAATTGAGCGAGGGGAGACACCAGAAGCTGGACCAGTTGGTTCCGCGAAGGCAGAACCAACTCCGCCCACGCTGCTAACGGCGCGTGTAACCGGCTGGAGCGGGAGGCGGGTCCGGGAAAGTAGAAGTGCCTGGAGGGCTTCCTTGCGGAGGCGCGCTCTGGCGACTTGGTGGTGAGCCGAGTGAGCACAATTACTCCCCATAAAATTGGGATAATACACACTCCAGGCCGGGCGCGGTGACTCACGCCTGTAATCCTAGCACTTTGGGAGGCCGAGGCGGCGAATCACCCGAGGTCAGGAGTTCGAGACCATCCTGGCCAACATGGTGAAACCCCCGTCTTTACTAAAAATACAAAAATTAGCCGGGCGTGGTGGTGGGCACCTGTAATCCCAGCTACTCTGGAGGCTGAGGCAGGTGAATCGCTTGAACCCTGGAGGCGGAGTTGCAGTGAGCCAGGACCATGCCATTACACGCCAGCCTGGGCGACAAGAGTGAAACTCCGTCTCAAAAAAAAAGAAAAGGAAAGAAAAGAAAGAAAGCGTACACACTCTGGGCGGTTTCCACGAGTTAACGATTAACACGATCCAGTGCACCTTACTTGACCCTAAGTACTCAGTAAATCTTAATTTCTGCCTCCACCACTCCTCAAACCGTTTACTTAGAAGACCCAGATAAATACAGTTTTTAAGACACCAACTATTTGCTCTGATTTGATTTATGAACCTACTACAAAAGTGGAGGTCTTCACCCAAACCCAGAACTACACGTTTCCCCAAATTCCTATATGCAAATTTTGTTATTCCCACCTTATAGACTGGAAGACTGGAGCCCGGCAAGATTAAGAAATTTGCCTGCAGCCTGGCGAGGTGGCTCAGAGCTGTGACCCCCAGCTACTTGGGAGGCTGAGGCAGGAGGATCGCTTGAGACTAGGAGTTTGAGGCTACAGTGAGCTATGATCGCACCAGCCTGGGTGACAGAGGGAGACCCCCATTTCTCTCTCTCTTTTTTTTTTTTTTTTGAAACGGAGTCTCTCACTCTGTCACCCAGGCTGGAGTGCAGTTGCATGATCTCAGCTCACGGCAACCTCAGCCTCCCGGGTTCAAGCGATTCTCTTACCTCAGCCTCCCAAGTAGCTGGGACTACAGGTGTGTGCCACCACGCCCGGCTAATTCTGGTATTTTTAGTAGAGATAGGGTTTCAACATGTTGGCCAGGCTAGTCTCAAACTCCTGACCTCAGGTGACCCACCTGCCTCAGCTTCCCAAAGTGTTGGGATTACAGGCATGAGCCACTGAGCCCAACCTGAGATGCCCATCTCTAAAAAAAAAAAAATTAAAAAAAAAATCCCTACAATCAGACAGGAAGTGCCCAAGCTGGGATTTGAAGCACATTTGCAAGCAACCAGGGATCAAAATGGTAATGACTATGCAAGACTTTTTATACTTTGTAGCCCACCCATGTTTTCTGTTGTCCCTGTCTTTTTAGCAATTAATGTTTTAAAATCTTCAAAGAAAAGCTAAAAATTGACAGAGCTTCTTTATGGCAAACTTTAGGTAAGGTTGAAAGACAATTTACAATCTAGGAAGAAATGGTTGATGAAATAAACAAAATACAAAAAGCTGTTACAAAGCAATAAGAAAAAGAAACATAATAGAAAGATTGGGACAGACCACTGCTTACTAGTTAGCCCTGCTCAGCAAGGAGCAGCTTAAAAAAAAAAAAAGAAGAAGAAAAGAAAAAGAAAAGAAAGAGGCCTGGCGGGGTGGCTCAGGCCTGTAATCCCAACACTTTGGGAGGCCAAAGAAGGTGGATCATTTTAGCTCAGGAGTTCCAGACCAGCCTGGGCATTATACAGAAACTCTATCGCTACAAAAACAAAACAAAACAAAAATTAGCTAGGTGTAGTGGTGTGCTCTCCTGCGGTCCCAGCTGCTCAAGAGGCTGAGGTAGAAGGATCACTTGGGCCCAGGAGATTGAGGCTGCAGTGAGCAATGATAGCACCACTGCACTCCAGCCTGAGCAACAGTGTGAGACCCTGTCCCAAAAGGAGAGGGGAAGAGAGGAGAGGACAGGGGAGAACTGGAGAGGGGAGAATTGGGGAGGGGAGAGGAAGGGAGGGTTAGGGAGGGGGAAAGAAGGAAAGAGAAAGAAAGATTGGCCAAAGCAAAAAGAAAGTTAAACAGAATATCAGAAATGTTTCAAAAATCAAAAAATTGGCTGGGCACGGTGGCTCACGCCTGTAATCCCGACACTTTGGGAGGCCGAGGTGGGTGGATCACCCGAGATCAGGAGTTCGAGACCAGCCTGGCCAACATGGTGAAACCCGTCTCTCCTAAAAATACAAAAATTAGCCGGGCGTGGTGGCAGGCGCCTATAAGCCCAGCTACTCGGGAGGCTGAGGCAGGAGAATCGCTTGAACCCGGGAGGTGGAGTTTGTAGTGAGCTGAGATCGTACCATTGCACTCCAGCCTGGGGGACAAGAGCGAGACTTTGTCTCAAAAAAAAAAAAAAAAAATTCAAAAAATTAGCCAGGCCTGGTTCTGTGGTCCCAGCTACTCAGGAGGCTGAGGCAGGAGGATTGTTTGGACCCAGGAGGTCAAGGCTACACTGAGCTGTGATCATGCCACTGCACTCCAGCCTGAGCTATACAGTGAGACCCTGTCTCAAAAAAAAAAAAAAAAAAAAAAGAAAAGAAAAGAAAAGAAAAGAGAAAAAGAAATTAGCTCGGTATGCACACACCTGAAGTCCTAGCTACTCAGGAGGCTGAGGTAGGAAGATCGGTTGAGTCCAGCAGTTCAAGGCTGTAGTGAGCTACAGTTACACCACTGCACTCCAGCCTGGCCGCAGAATTAGACTGTCTCTTAAAAATAAATATATAGGCCAGGCGCCATGGCTCACACCTGTAATGCCAGCACTTTGGGAGGTCAAGGTGGGTGGATCACCTGAGGTCAGGAGTTCCAGACTAGCCTGGTCAACATTTTAGTAGAAACCTTGTCTCTACTAAAAACACAAAAATTAGCTGGCATGGTGACGGGCGCCTGTAATCCCAGCTACTTGGGAGGCTGAGGCAGGAGAATCACTTGAACCCGGGAGGCAGAGGTTGCAGTGAGCTGAGACCACACCATTGCACTCCAGCCTGGGCAAGAGTGAAACTCCATCTCAAAATAAATAAATAAATAAAAATAAAAATAAATAAATCGGCCGGAGGCAGTGGCTCACACCTATAATCTCAACACTTTGGGAGGCTGAGGCGGGTGGATCACTTGAGGTCAGAAGTTCGAGACTAGCCTGAGCGGGTGAAACCCCGTCTCTACTGAAAATACAAAAATTAGCCAGACATGGTGGCGGGCGCCTGTAATCCCAGCTACTTGGGAGGCTGAGGCAGGAGAATCACTTGAACCCAGTAGGCTGAGGTTGCAGTAAGCCGAGATCACACCACTGCACTCCAGCCTGGGCAACAGAGCAAGACTCTATCTCAAAATAAATACATAAATAAAATTAAAATATAAAAGTTCAGCAAAAAAGAAATTAAGGATTGACAACCTCAATGTTGACCAGGGTATAGGAGCATACTCATACACTTTTGCTGAAAATTGAGGCCGGGTCCAGTAGCTCATGCCTGTAATCTCAGCACTTTGAAGGGAGGCCAAGCCAGGCAGATCACTTGAGCCCCGAAGTTTGAGACCAGCCTGGGCAACATGGTGAAACCCTGTCTCTACAAAAAATAAAAAAATTAGCTGGGCATGAGGGTGCATGCCTGTAGGCCCAGCTACTTGAGAGGCTGAGGCAGGAGGGTTGTTTGAGCCCTGGAGGTGGAGGTTGCAGTGAGCTGAGATCACACCATTGCACTCCAGACTGGGCAACAAAATGAGAGTCTGTCTCAAATTAAAAAAAAAAAAAAAAAAAAAAAAAAAAAAAAAAAATTGAAATAGGCACACCTCTTTTGGAGGGGGTGAGGGGACAGAGTCTTACAGTGTCACCCAGGTCAAATGCAGTGGCACAATCTTGGCTCACTGCAATCTCTGTCTCCCAGATTCAAGCGATTCTTGTGCCTCAGCCTTCCGAGTAGTTGGGATTACAGGCGTGAACCACCATGCCTGGCTAATTTTTTTTTGTATTTTTAGTACAGACAGGGTTTCACCGTGTTGGCCAGCATGTTAGTGGGCATGGTAGTTCAAAAAAGAAAATTCCTGTGATAGGGAGCTCATGACCTCCTCCTCTCAGGCAGCATCCTGGAGAGAAAGAACAGAGAGCCAGGGCCAGGCGTGGTGGCTCACACCTGTAATCCCAGCACTTTGGGAGACCGAGGAGGGTGGATCAAGACATCAGGAGTTCAAGACCAGCCTGGCCAACATGGTGAAACCCAGTCTCTACTAAAAATACAAAAATTAGCCGGGCATGGTGGCAGGTGCCTGTAATCCCAGCTACTCAGGAGGCTGAGGCAGGAGAATCGCTTCAACCCAGAAGGCGGAGGTTGCAGTGAGCGGAGATAGTGCCACTGAACTCCAGCCTGGGTGACAGAGCAAGACTTTGTCTCAAAAAAAAAAAAAAAAAAAAAAAGGAACAGAGAGCCAGGAGCCCACAGACCCACTTCCCACAGGCTTTACTGTTGACTGACTGCTACTTTGGGCAAGCTGCTTAACCTAACAGAATTTTCTTCTCTGTGCAAAGTAATTTTAACTACTTCATATATTGTTGTATTAAGTAAGATATAATATGTCGTAATTTCAATACCTGGTATATAGTGGGTGCTCAGTAATATATTATCATCATTATTGTAACTTTCACTTATTAATCCTAGTTCTAGTTCTGTAACTACATAGAATCTATGTTAGTCTATCAGATATTTGCTACAATTCTTTCTTTCAACCAATATTGAGCCCTGTGTTCCAAGATTTTGCCCTTGTGCAACTTATAGTTTGGTGGGAGGGGCAGGTATAAAAAGATATGTAAAATTACACACGTAGTAAGTGCCACAAAGAAGAGATTCATGTCCTCTGAGATTATCAGTAGGGAATTTGACCTGGTTGGGGAAGTCAGGAAAGACTGCTGAAGGACAAGCAGGAGTTAATAAGGCACAGACTGCAGGGAACATTGTTCCAGGTGAGGGAACAGCATGCCACGAAGGCCACGTGGCAGGAAGTACTGTGGCCCATTGGGTGAATCTGAAAGAAGGCCAGTGGCCCACAGAGGAAAGCAAGCGGGTGGGGGAGGACGCTGGAGAGGTATGTGGGGGCCAACCTTGGCCAGAAGGATTTTGTTCTTCATTTTAAGATTAATGAAAAGTCACTGCTGGATTTGAAATGAAGGATTAGGGTCAGATTTGTGTGTTTTAAAGATAACTGTGGTTGCAGGGTGGAAAACAACCCAGAGAGGAGCAGAGGCAGATCTGGGTGACAGCTGGGAGACCACTGCAGGAGTCCAGGCAAGATGGAGGCAGCATGTGCCAGGAGGGCGATGGAGACAGAGATGACAAGTTCCAGGGAGATTTGGGAGGCAAAATCAACAGCGTTTTGTGCTGGACTGGACTTGAGAGGTGGAAGGTAAGGGAGAAGGAGCTCGGGGATGCCACCTTGTGCGGCTTGTGCAGCTAAGTGGATGATGCTGCCATTCACTGAGTCAGTAGACTGTGGAGGAGAAGCAGGTTTGGACAAGCAGGGCCTGACTTTTAAATTAACTGCAGGTGGGGCTGGGCACGGTGGCTCACGCCTGTAATCCCAGCACCTTGGGAGGCCAAGGTGGGCGGATCACGAGGTCAGGAGTTTGAGACCAGCCTGGCCAATATGGTGAGACCCCGTCTCTACTAAAAATACAAAAAAATTAGCTGGGCATGGTGGTGCACACCTGTAATCCCAGCTATGTGGGAGGCTGAGGCAGAAGAATCGCTTGAACCCAGGAGGCGGAGGTTGCAGTGAGCTGAGATTGCGCCACGGCACTCCAGCCTGGGTGACAGAGCGAGACCAGGTCTCAAAAAAAAAAAAAAAAAAAAATTAACTCCAGGTGTTTCTGCTTGAAAGACAGCTCAGAGATTTGGGTTATCAGGCTCACTGCCGTGGCTTCCATCGCTCATTATTCTGGGATCTGGCCTCTAAACTCTAACCTATCGGTACACAACTTAAATCATAGTGCACAGTGGTTTGACCTGTGTAAGTTTTAGCAGGACTATTAGATTCGGGACCTAGGCCCCAAGGGCCTATTAATTCAACTTCACATTGATTTATCTTTACTGTGATCCTCATTATCCAATTGGCTCATTTTGTGAATATCATCAACCAAAACCCCAGGGTTTTTATTTCACATGAATGGCCATCAAGATGGGTCTGCCTTGTCCCATCCCTGCAACTGACTTTTAATTTTCTTTTTGAGACAGGGTCTTGCTCTGTCACCCAGGCTGGAGTGAAGTGATGCAATCATGGCTCACTGCAGCCTCAACCTCCTGGGCTCAAGTTATCCTCCCACCTTGGCCTCCTGAGTTGCTGGTGCACACCACTAAGCCCAGCTAGTTTTATATATATATGTATAAATGGGGGCCAGAGTGTGCTATGTTGCCTAGGCTGGTTCCAAACTCCTAGGCTCAAGAAATCCTCCTACCTCAGCTTTCCATAGTGTTGAGATTACAGGGCATGAGCCACCCCACTGGCCGATTTTTTCTTTCCAACCAAATTTGAACCCTTTAATTGTTCTCTTGGTGGTTGCAGCTCATCCTTCCAAGCCTCTGAGATAACTGAGGCTCTTGATTCTGGTTTCTGGTTCTGGTTTCCATTCCAACAACCTATCCCCTACCCCCAGTGGGGCATTTGCACACTTGATCAGCATAACCCAGGGATTCTCCCCTGGGATTTCCAGACCCTGGGGAGCCAGATGGGTTCTAGAATTTGGGCAAGAAAAAGAAATTACACCTTTTACTAACCTCTAATAGAAGTTTAGCATTTCCTCCAATTATGAATATGGGTAAAACCACCAGTAGTATTAGCAGTACCTGTGACTTGTCACTAATTGACACCACAGCTACTTTTATGTCTCACTGTGACTGTTGTAGAAATCTCAAATATGGCTTATGCTCATTAGTATTTGGAAAATGTCAGTTTATTACACCTGTTTTTAGATCTTGTTATTAAATACATGAAAAAGAAGCACATTAGTTTCATAATTTTTTAGCATTTTGGTAAACTGTTTCCATTGGTTTCCCTTATAATCCTATACATTTTATGGGTTTTGTTGTTGTTGTTGTTCTGTTTTTGAGACAGTCTCACTCTGTTGCCCAGGCTGGAGCACAGTTGTGTGATCTCAGCTCACTGCAACCCCCACCTCCCGGGTTCTAAGCAATTCTCCTGCCTCAGCCTCCTGAATAGCTGAGATTACAGGCGCATGCCACCACACCCTGCTAATTTTTGTATCTTTAGTAGAGATGGGGTTTTGCTATGTTGGCCAGGTTGGTCTCGAACTCCTGGCCTCAAGTGATCTACCCACCTCAGCCTCCCAAAGTGCTGGGATTACAGGGGTGAGCCACTATGCCTGGTCCATTTTATAGGTTTTAAAACCTAATTCTGAGGAGGACTCAGTAGACCTCTACAGACTGCCAAAGGCGTTTATGGCACAAAAAAGGTTCAGCACCCCTGGCCTGACTGCATTCCTTCCAGGCCTCCACCAGAGCACCCCTCTGAGTTGAGAAGGTTCATGCACTCAGACATTCATGCATCTCCTGAGGTCCCACAGGCAAAGGCCTGGATTATCCAGAAACAGAACACAATGCTGGGCAAAACAGGTGATGGGAAATGGAATGAGGAGGCAGGAAAAAAGGAAGATGGGAAGTGGGTTGGGAAGTGGGTTCAGAGGGAGGTGCAGGAGGCAGAGTTACCAAATTCCCAAGGAACCCACTCACACAGTTGTGGAAAACTCAACCTTTATTATTACCTGCCTAGTGCAGGGGATTAAAATTGCCTCAAGCTAGGTCCATATATTAGTGTAAAAATCTGTGTCTCTCCCCCCAAAAATGTACAAACCCCAAGTGATTATAGAAAAATCAATGTGGCAGCTACACTAGAGATGTCCAACCCCAAGGCTATGGGCCGTTGCTCCCTCTTTCCCCCCAATCCCAATATTTACTCCACAGAAACGTATAGGCTTAGAGAAGTTCTAGCTACAAGACTGCAAGTGGGAAGTGGGGGTGACTGAGGGCTGGGGCGGGGCTACCCCCAGGTCCAGTGTTTCAGGTGATGGAGGAGGAAGAAGCCCAAGCTGAGGACAAGTACAGGAGCAGGCACAAGGAAACATTTTCCTCTCCTTCTTGTCCTCCTCACCCCCAGATTCTCAGCCAGTGGGGTCCAGTGTGTGACAGGGAGAGAGAAGCTGGGGGCGCAGCCACCTCTCCAGGAATCAGTGTTGTCCAGTGGGGCCCAGGTGCTCCAATGGGCCATGTCCAGTGTCTATCCTATATTTCTCCCCACCCTTCCCCAAGGGATGGCTAGAGGAGGGTGGAGAGGATCCCATCCACAGGACCAGCTGGGTGGGCGACAGGGGCTTCTAGGAAGGAAGAACAGGAAGGGGACATGAGAGTGTGTCCAGGAAGGGGAGAAGGGGCATCAGCTCCCTGGGTGGGCCCAGCCCACCTGCAGTCTCACTGCCTCTATTAGAGGTGATGGGCTGTCGGGAGGGGAAGGGCAGAGGTGCCATTGTGTCCTCTTGTTTTAGTGTCACTGGCTTCCCCTGGATCGCTCCCTGAGGGAGGGGCAGCTGGATGTGTGATTCACACCGTGTTGAGTGCATCCTCTGCCAGGAACCGATGCAGCTGGGAAAAGGGTGGTCGCTGCTCAGACTCCCGGCTCCAGCACCGAAGCATCAGCTCATATAGGCCCTGCGGGCAGGCAGGCGGCCGGGACAGGTACACCTGCATTGTGGCAGTGTGGATGAGAGTCAGGGAACAAATATTCTTTAGTCTCCAAGATGACAACTCTGCCCCTTCTGTCCCCCGCCTCGGACCCATCTTCCCTCTCCTCCACTCTGACCTGCCGGCCCTGGTCCCGGAAGAACTCCCCCGCGTTCTCGATGACCTGCTCGTCGGTGAGCTGCCCAAAGGGCTGGGCCCTACAGAGCATCAGCACCTCCCACAGGGTCACACCAAAGGCCCACACGTCACTCGCAGTCGTGAACTTCCCCTGGGATGCAGAGAAGGCAGCAAAAACAGACAGGGACATCAGGCAACGTAGACCCTCCTCCCTTCCTATTGGAAGCCCCAGATCCACTCTGGGCTCCACTCAGGCCTGATCCCTCCTGACGCCAGGCTCTCCACTCTCCTCCGCTGGCCACCTTTTCCAACTCCTCTCCCTTGGGCTCTGCCTTTCCTCTCCATGCTCTGGTCCTCTCTCCAGGGCCCTGGCCCACCTCTTCCTTCTGCTCCTCCTTCCTCTCCATCCACCCCCACTTTCTGGTCCTGACCTTCGGTCTCCCTACCCAACCCCTTCTATCTCCAGCTTCCTCGCCCAACCTCATCTCTTGAGCTCTCTGCCACCCTGTCTCCATCCCCAGTACCCACTCTTGGCTCCTGGATTCTTGCCCATCACACTGCAGCTCCTGCTTTCCCCAGTCCCTTGGGCTAGGAGAACCTCATATTATAGATGAGATTCTGTAAAATGCAACCCAGAGAAAGTGTGTGACTGATGGAGACCAGGGCTGTGAGTGGCGGCCAGTGTTCTCCCACCTGCCCTGCTCCAACCTGGCTGTCCTCGGGCTGCTCACCATGAGGATGCACTCCCAGGCCATCCAGCGGATGGGCAGCACTGCCCGGCCCTGCACACGGTAATAGTCCCCAGCATAGAGGTTCCGGCTCATGCCAAAGTCTGCGATTTTGATGGTGAAATTTTCCCCAACTAGGCAGTTCCGCGTGGCCAGGTCCCGATGTACAAAGTTGAGTGTGGCCAGATAGCGCATGCCGGAGGCGATCTGGGCTGCCACATGCAGCAGCATTGGGTAGCTGAGAAGGGAACCGACAGAAGGTCACTGGGGGCAGCTTCGCAGATTCCCATCCAGGAGAGGAGAGAGAGCCCACTCCCCGGGCCCGGTCACTCTGGCTCCCCATGTGGAGGTGGAATGCCCACGTGAGGCCAAGGGTCACTTCCCTCTCAATCTCCCAGGCCTGGCCAACACTAGGGGGCTCTTCTTTTATTGTGCTCCCCAATCTGGACTCAGAGGGGAGTGAGGGTGAGAGAAAGCAGAAGGGACGTCATGGCAGGGCCCAAGTCCCTTCACCACTCTTGCATAGTCACCTCCAGCCTTTCTGTCCATGTTCCTGGGTTAACTTGTCACACATTCCTTATCCCAGGCCCTCCTGGAACCTCTCTCCCTTCCCACCCCCACGCTCCCCTCTTTTCCTCCAGGCTGAAGCGAGGGGAGAGGAGGAGATCCCCTGGGGGAATTCTGAGCAAGGCCCAGCCTGGGTAAGCAGGTACCTGATGGTGGGCCCCTGCGCAGCCTGCCCGTCCCCAGGGGCCCCCTCGGCTGCCTTGTCCTCCAGCTGGTGGGCACTGAGGAACTGGTTGAGGTCGCCGTTCTCCATGTAGTCAGTAATCATGCAGAGGGGGTCGTCCTGCACACACACGCCCAGCAGCCGAATGATGTTTGGGTCCTTGAGCCTCGACATGATCTTCACCTCTTTCAGGAAATCATTCCTGGAGAACAAGGAGAAGCTGAAGAGGAATGCCGAGTGGGCGGCCTGCACCTTCCCCCGCGCCCCCACCCCCCTGCCCCACCTCAGGCAGACCAGGCGTCCCCACCCCCAGCGTACATGTAAATCCCCTCCCAGAGATGCCACCCCTCTGTTGGGCTCTGCCATTGTTCTCTCTAGATGGCTCCCCACTCTTCACGGCCTCCCCTCCCTTCTTCCAGATGCCATCCCTGGTCCTCACCTGGCATTCTTGGTGGCATCTGGCCGTAAGATCTTGACAGCTACCAGCAAAGGGTGTCCCTTACGCACATTAAGGGGGAAATCAAGACTAACCAGATCTTGAGGGCTGTCGACCTCACACAGGTGCACCTGGAGAAAGAAGTTCGTTTGCTAGGCGGTCACAGGGTCAAACGGATTAACACGGTTACAAATGACTAAGGTTCCTGGCTAGGGGGATGCGCAGGCATGGCATCAGAGCACACAATAGGGCCAGACACTGGGTAGGCACCCTCCTTACCTCCCCAAACTGGCCCTCGCCAAGCTTCTCCTTGAAGCGGAGTCGAGATCGAGGGAAATCCACTCTGGGGGGCCCATCCCCGACTGCCCCTGGGGGCAGTGCAGGCACAGCATAGGTGTTGCCCCCGGTGACGCCCTGCAGGGTAACAATGTCAGCCTCGGCATAATGGGGGACGCTGTTCTGGGGAGGTGGGGGCAGAAGCGGGGCGCCTGGCTTCTCAGGCTCCATATAGTCCCCACTGTAGGCTGCAGGGGTGAGGGGAAAGAAGACAGGACGAGGCATCAGGAACAGCCCAAGAGCTATAGTTCCCCACACCTCAGCCTCCCGGAGGGCCCTGTGTCTCCCGGTTGAGTGAGAGACTGGGTCTATGCTGTATCTTCCCAGTATTCCATGCGCCAACCTCAAACCAGGAAGACACTGGCATGGGACGAGAGTTAGCTATTCCAGAGCTTTTCAAGGCAATGAATATGGTTGAGCAAAACTGTCATAAAGTCTTACTCTTTTAGGGCCTCCCTAGGGTCTCTCAAGAGACTGTGAGATAAATCTTGGCTGGAAGAAGAATTCCTCCCCAGGAATTCTCCCGCCTCAGGATGGTCCCAGCATCCAGGCACCCTCCACCTTCCAAACCCTTGTCCCGTTCACCACAGCTCCCTCCCCTTCACTTAGCTGCTCTCCCGTGGCTTTCAGCCTGGCTCCCCCTGGGGCCAAGCCCTCCCAACCCTTTCAACCCAACACACCAAGCTCAACAACAAGCAGAGACAGAGGCACACAGAGAGGAGGGAGGGTAACAGCTGCTCACAGCCCCAACACAAGTTGTCTACAGACAGGAGAGGAAGCAGAGCTGTCCCCTCTTAGCCCTGGGGAAGGGGCCACAATGAGAAGGCAACACTGAGGAGAAGAGGGGCAGATGGAAAGGGTTGGGGCATGAGCCTTCACCTCTGGGACTGCAGAGAGAGGACACATGTGAGGGAAAGGGCAAGCGCCCGGGGTGAGAGCCCTCCTCCTCGCAGCTCTAGAGAGAGTGGAGAATAAAGGAGGAGTTACTATAGTCTGGGGCCACCACAGCAACCTCCTGTCTAGCTCTGGAGAGCTGAAGAGATGGCGTGGAAGAGGAGGAGGGAGAAGAGCTGGGGACCAGTAAGCTTTCTACTCCTCAGCTCAAGGGGGGGACCTTAAAAAAGAGCAAGCAGCAGCAGAGATGAGCTAAGGGCACAAGAGCTTCCTCCTTGGGAGCTCAGGAGAGCAGAATAGGCCACAGTGGGGAGAGGAGGAAGTGCAAGGTGTGAGGGCTTTTCCCTGCCCCAGTAGAGGTATGGGGAGCCTGGCGGAGCCCAGGGGCAGAGGGGCTTACCCTGGGTGTTGGTGGGTTTGGCCCAGGCGGGTGTGGGGGGGCCCGGGCCTCGAGGGGGACGGGCGTAAGTGGCCAGAAGGAGGCGGTAGGCTGGATTGGAGAGCAGCAACGCTGTCGGGAGAAGGAGGAGGGGAAACACGGGGAAGGGATGAGACTCAAGGCTAGACAGACAGGGAGACCTTGAATAGGGCAAGACCAGGGCTGATGGGATGATTGCATTAAGAGACAGACAGGATAAAACAAGGATCTGCAGAGTGACGGACGGCTGGCTGGATAATGAATGCATGGACAGATGGGACGTATGAATAGATGGATGGATGGTAAACAGATGTTTTGTTGGATGGATGGATAACAGATGGAAAGATGGATGTGTGAATATAGATGGATAGATGGATGATGGATATGGGTGGGTGGATGGATGGATGAATAGATTTATGAATATAGATAGAAAGACAGATGATGGAAGATTGATGGATGGATGCAAGGATGTATGACTATGGATGGAAGGATGGGTGATGGAGGATAGATGAAGGAACAAACATGGTGAGTCTAATACAAAGCAAAGGGGCCAGGGAGACACAATGAGAGGGTACAACAAAGATAGAGAGATGTCTGTGGGACACAGACAAGATAGCACCACGGGGGACTATGGGTAATACATGGGGAACTCTTGAGAGAGACTACATGGTAGGGACAAAGAGTGATATAGACAGTAACCAGGGGCACAGAAAGAAGAAAACAAGTGGAAACTGGGGAAGACAGGAAAAAAAGAGAATGGGAAAGGGATACAATAAGAAAACAGCAGAGAGGACAGAGGTGCGACTGGAACAAGGCAGGTCTTACCAGAGCCATTGGGGACACAGGGAGCGGAGTGGGGCGGATTCCCACGAGGCCGGGGCTCCTGGTACGGGGGTGGCTCTCTAGGACCTGGGCGGTTGTTGATGAGGATAGTGTCCCCAGGGACAGAGAGGTGAACCGTCAGCTCCTCTTCCAACACCCTCCGTTCAGCCTTGTCATAGGGATGGGAGGCATCACCCGTGTTGCTCAGCACACACGGCCTGGCCCTCTGCTGTGTCCATCCCTGCGTTCCCTCCCTCAGCCCTCACAAGAGCCCTACAGCTGTGGATACTATCAGCACCATCTTACAGGCAGAGAAAGTGAAGCTCAAGAGCATGGAGGTAACTTCCCTGTCCCACAATGAGATTCTAACCCTCATCTGCCCAGTCCATAACTATCAACCGTTTTTTTTTTGTTTGTTTGTTTTTTTGAGATGGAATTTTGCTCTTGTCGCCCAGGCTGAAGTGAAATGGCATGATCTCAGCTCACTGCAACCTTCGCCTCCCAGGTTCAAGAGATTCATGCCTCAGCCTCCTGAGTAGCTGGGATTACAGGCATCAGCCACCATGCCTGGCTAATTTTGTATTCTTAGTAGAGATGGGATTTCACCATGTTGGTCAGGCTGGTCTCGAACTCTTGACCTCAGGTGATCCTCCCGCCTCGGCCTCCCAAAGTGCTAGGATTACAGGCATGAGCCACCGTGTCCAGTCATCAACCTTAATGTATATTACTGCCACTGGACTCCAGCCGGAAGACGTGGCTTGGGGTGTGCCAGACGTCTTCCCTTTGCCCCTCCAACCCCACTCTCTGCCTGTCTCTACCCTGCTTCTGCCCCAAGGCTGACCAGTGTACACTGCACCAACAGGCCTGGTTTGGGTTAGCCAGAGAGGAGCCCAGCAGGAGTTTGGGGCAGAAAGTGAGGTCAGGGCATCTATTCTCCCAGGCCCTCCCTGAGGGGTAGATACGGGCCAGCTGCATCCCAGGACCAAAGTCTACTGCCCCTGTCAAGGTGCCCTCTCCACAGGCTCTCTCCTCTGGGTCGTGGTATTTGCTCCTCTCCGCTGAGCAGACCCAGAGCTGGGGAGCAGCCCTCCCTGTGAGCCCCATACCCTCTTTGACATGGTGTAAGTGGTCTCTTTACTAAGCCCTCCTCTTGGGATGCTAGTGGGCTGTGCCCTGCAGGTCCCACTGGACGCTGGCTCGTGCTGGGGCCTGGCCTCCCCCCGCCACTCCACATGCCACGGCTGTGCCCACCTTGCTGAGGAGCCTGCGCCAGTGCAGCCGCCAGAGCATGAGGGCAATGATGAGCAGCAGGAGCAGGATGATGGCCACCAGGCAGCCGATGAGGATGGCGGTCGGGCTCCCCTCGGCCTTGGCCACGGGCTGCTGGCCTCTGGGCTCCAGCTCTGGTGGAGGCAGCAGGGTCAGCACCACAGGAGGGTCCCACCCTAGCCGAGGGGGAGGCCCAGGGAGAAGGGTGCAGAGGGTCCACACGCCCACCCAAGATTGCTCACCCAAGCTGCTGAAGTTGGTGGGAGGTGGGCCAGGCGGCCACCAGGGGGCTGGCGGGAAGGTGCCTCCCAGTGCCGGAGAGGAATTGTTCACCACATCTGGGGAGAAGGAACAAAAAGAAAGGAGGGAGGTAAATGAGGAGGAGACCCAAGGGAGGCAGAGGCAGTGGACTGTTGTGCAAAGGAGCAGAAGCATGGGTGATTCTCAATAGGCAACCACTGACCAGTGGGGGCTGGGGGAGCAGGGTCCTGGAACACCCAGCTGTGGTGGGTGTTAACCCTATAGTTGCTGGATTGTGGGGAGGTGGAGGACAGGTATCTGGAGGCTTAGAGAAGAGGCTATTTCTCAACTAATACAGAAGTATTTCAATATTTTAACAACCAGTACTGTCATACTGGCTCAATAATAGTCACGGGCAAGGGGCTTACAAAGGAAAGATGGATACGCAGAGAACAAGAGGCAGAAAGGGGCTCAAGTTATTTGGGGCACCCCTAATTGAGAAGTTTCGGTGGGTGATGGGTAGATATAATGCAAGGAATGAGTATTTTAGGGACACTGCAGGGTTAGGAATGAAATCAGTTGTCAATTTCAGGGACTGGAGACTGGGCTACTCCAGGGCTTACCAGAGATGAAGGAGATTTCGCTGAAGAGTAACCAGGGCCCCGCAAAGAGGAAGCGGCACTGCAGAAAGCGAGCCACACGGCCGCCAAGGGGCACTGAGACAGCCCGGGCTCTGGGGTCCCCCAGGTTGCCCCCTAGGTTGTGGCGCATGGGCTCCCCCTCCCAGGCCATGGCAGGGCCACGCCGGAAGCGACATTCCACCCCGCCAGGCAGACGGGCTCCCAGCGTGTGCATGTTGTTACAGTGGACCTGGGGGGAAGGGAAGAGGGCACAGGGTCAAGGCTAGGAGTGGTGGGGGCACCCCAACGGCACCCTGCATGGCTTCAGAGCCCTCCTCGAGAGCCGGACTCACTCACCTGCATAGCCTGGAAGGCCCTCAGCCGGTCAAACTCAAACTCCATC
The DNA here is from genome assembly GCF_000001405.40 of Homo sapiens. NCBI lineage: Eukaryota > Metazoa > Chordata > Mammalia > Primates > Hominidae > Homo > Homo sapiens. The sequence continues at coordinate 2,202,380 of NT_167246.2, read as the reverse complement.
TCCACATAGCCACTGGAGAAGCTGTGGTTGCTCCATCCCACATAGTCATAGCCTGGCCAGACCCGCAGCTCCTGACTCTTCCTAAAGTCATCCAGCCCCACCACACCATCTGCCAGCTGGCCCAGACCCCCATACTGCAGTCTGGAGAAGAGGGGACCAAGGAAGAGGAGGTTGGAAGGGAAGAGGGTCTTGACATCCAGGCATTCTGCTCCGCCACCCTCCGGCACAGTGGCATGGCCAGCCTGGCTCCCATCCACTAGTCCCATTCCCATCCCACCTCACACTCATGCAGCTGGCCCTTCTCCTCTCTCCACCCCACCCCAGCACTACAGGTACCTTGCAGGTCACATCCAGCACAAAGGCACCACCTCTAAGGGGCACCATTTCAATCTATGATGTGTATATTTATTGCAGCAATTTCCAACAATGTGTGTTAGCAAAGGGGTGCCTTTTTCATACAGTGTCATACGGGCTAGTGGTCACCCTAGTGCTACCCTTTGAGGCCCCACCTAACCCATCCCTCTTCTCAGCTCTTCCATCTCACTCCCCACCCTACTTACCAGCCCCCCTACACACACACACTCTCACACACACACACACACACACACACAGTCCTCCCTCCCACCCCAAACTCCATATCCTGCAGGGGCCTTTCTTACCCGCCCACGGTATGTCCGTCATAGGTGGAGTCGTTGAGGTACACGGCCTCAGATAAATACATTGTCTGCCCCACAGGGGCGGTGTAAGACAGGAGTCCATCTGGGGCAGGGTGAGAGGATGGGGGTCAGAGGCACTAAGGCTCCATCCCCCATCCCTGCATCAGGCCTGGGCAGGTTTCAGGTCCCTTCTTGTATCTCTCCACTGGCTCATTGGCATGGAGGAGACAATGCTGGCTAGCCCCCTCCTCAGAGTGACAGCTTCCCAGCAGGAGAAGGGATCCTGGATGCCCATTCTCCACACTCCCCACCCTCCAGTCCCCTGCTCAGGAAACAGATTCCCAGGAAGCTGAGCCACTCACCCCTCCAGAGGCAGCCATAGAGCTCTACCCGCAGACAGACGCTCATGACCCGGTCAGCCCGGGGGTAGAAGCGAACCAGTCGGGCAACCATGGGGGGCCCAAGGTCCTTCAGCACCACTCCCTCAGGGTCCTCATTGCCTGAGATCACCTGTGGGCCAGGAAACAGGGGGTGGGTGGGATGGAGTCCAGGTCAGATCTTACTTCCCACCCACCAGCTGCTCCCTGGCCCAGCCCACAGTGGCCACTTAGAGACCCATGAGGGGTGGCACCGAGCACACAGCACTGTGGGGCGCAGCCAGGCATGGGTGAAATGAAGATCTGCAGCTGAGACCTCTGGCTCTGTCGCAGCTCTGATGTTCCATCCTCAGACTTCAGGCTCAGCTGCCCTCTTCTCCTTGCCTGGCTCCATCCATTTGTCTCCAAGCCTATCATCCCATTGTGCCCAGATTCTCCCCAATCCTCACAGCCCTGCACCCCTGCCTCAGCTTCCCCTTCATTTCAGCCCATTCCCTCTGTTCATTCAGCAGAAGTTGGCTGAGTGCCCGCTCTGTGCCAGGCGCGTTCTCAGTGGTGAACGTCACTCCCCACCCTTGTAGGACTGAGATCCCAGCAGGGAAAACAGCTGCGAAGAACAAGAGGCAGGAAGTATGGACAGAGCAGTGAGGTGGGTGGCCAGAAAAGGCTCTCTAAGGAGGTGACACCTGGCAGAGAACTGAATGGAGTGAGGGAGAGCCTGTGGTTATTTAGGGGAGGAGCTTTGCAGGCACAGAGAAAATGTCCAGAAGCTGTGGGAACGAGCCCTGGCTTGTTCCAGCAACAAGAAGAAAGGCAGCGTGGCCAAGGAGGCGCCAAGAAACAAGTGATGCAGGCAGGAGCCAGGTCAGGCTGAGCATCCTGCACCAGCTAGGGACTCAGCTTTTGTTCTGGCAGAGTGGAAAGCCAGCATGGGGGTGTCAGCTAGGTGTGACGTATCTGATTTACATGCTCTAAGGTCCACTGGATGCCGCCCCCCCAGGTGGAGATTTGACTCCAGGCAGAAAAGGGCAGAAGCAGGGAGACGCGTTTGGCATCTACTGCACTCATCTAAGCTGGAGATGGCGGGCAGGTGGCCTAGGGCAGTAGAGGTGGAGTGGTGAGGAGTGACTGGACTCAGGAACACTATGGAGGTAGAACAGACGGGGCTGCTGATGCTTTGGAAGGAGGTGAGAGAAAAAAAGGAATCAAGGATATCATCTTAACTTATAGCCTAGGCAACCAGGCAATGGTGATACCACTTCCTGAGCTGGAGAATGCCAGGGGAGGAGCAGGTTTAGGCTGGGAATGGGAATCAAATTCAGCTTGGGAAGTTAAACGTACGTTTGAGATGCCTATTAGACATCTAGGTGGCTGGCTACAGTGCTTGTAATCCCAGCACTTTGGGAGGCTAAGGTGGGAGGATCACTGAGCCCAGGAGTTCAAGACCAGCCTGGGCAACACAGCAAGACCCCATCTATTAGAAAAAAAAAAAAAGACATCTAAGTGGAGAAATCCAAAAGGTGGCCAGGTTTACAATATTGTTTGGAGCTCAGCTGAGAGGCTTAGTCTGGAGATGATATAAACTGGAGAGTCGTCAGCGTATAGGTGGTGTTTAAAGTACAGCTGGAAGTGAGGAGAGCCAACCTCCTCTGGGTGCTGCCCCTGCCAGTCTCACCTCCTGACCCCAGCGGTCCTTCCAGCCCATCCAGCGGCGACCATCCCGGGAGTAACGCAGCCGGTAGCTCCGGGAGAACTCCTTGCCCAGGCCCCCGGCATGCCGTCCCTGGGTGCCCACCAGAGCCACCAGGTGCAGTCGTTGTAGATCCACCTGCAAGTACTCCTCCTCCTTGGGAAACACCGACCCTGCGGGGCACCAGGCCCCATCCCCGTCACTGCTCTCCAACCTGAGGGTGAAGAGGGGCACAGAGAACATCTGGCCCCAGGTCTGCCTCCATCTCCAGTATTTAAACCCCACTTCATTTGCCCCCTCAGCCTGCAGGGGTTTCACTGGCATGGGCAGAGGGGTTGGAGGGGAAGTAGAGGTCCCAGGAGCTCCTCTCGGGGCAGCTACAAGTGTGCCAGGTGTGCCAAGTACCTGCTGTGGCGGGCGGCAGTGGAATCTGACCAGGAGCTGGAAGCAGAGATGTCACTGTCTGGGATGGTCCGGTCCTGCATGCCCAGGGCATAGCGGCACTTGGCTGAGTAAAAAGCAGGCATGTAACAGGTCAAGGCCCCCAACTCTCTACCTCCCAAGCCCTGGCCCTCAGGGACCCATGATTCAGTCTCCTCACCAGGATCAAAATGTCCCTTCATGTCAGCATCTCCACTTGCCACCAAGAGCAGCAGCAGTAAAGATGACAGGGCCTCTGGTCCCATAGCTCCTGATCCCTCGGGCCTAAGGGGGTGGGGGCAGCATCTCTGCAGGGGATAAAATGGGTGGTGCGTAAGTTAATCAGGGGACTGAGTCATAGCTGACAGCAACAGACAGAATGGGCCGCTTTGGGGATAATAACAGTAAAACAACAACAACAGTCATTGTTTAACAGCATCAGCTATATTTTTAGAATGCTTCCCCTGTGCCAGACACTGGCCTAAACCCTTAAACAGAATCCATAATTTTATCTTCACAGTCACTTCATAAGGTAGATACTATTACTATCCATATTTAACACATGAAGAAACTAGGGCAGAGATCAGTTAAATAACTTCCTAAAGCCCCATTTCTCCAATCAGGAATGGGCAAAATATCCCCATAAACAACGGCTTAGAACAAACAACAAGTGTGCAAAAAATGTTTATAACACATACAACAGGAAAAGGTTTAATAACTACAATAAACTAAGGCCCCTTAGGAACTGACAAGAAAAAATATATAAGTAACCCAATAAAGAAACAGCCAAAGAATGTGAATAGTCATTTCACAGAAAAGCAAAGCCAAATTGCCAACAAACATTTTTTTTAATGGTCAAATTCACCAGCCTCAGGGAAATACCAAGCAGACTGACAAGATATTTTTTTAAGGCTGTAACATATAAAAGTGGTAGAAAGTGATGAAAAGGGAGGCACCATGCTCAATGGCAGAAATGAGTGTTATCTTCTATTTGGAAAGCAATCTAGCAATGTCTATTATAATTAAAAATGCACATCCTCTTCGACCCAGCATTCCCTCGAGAGAGAAGCACCAGGAAGTAAGAACATATGTGCAGGTCTGGGTCTGGTGGCTCATGCCTGTAACCCCAGCACTTTGGGAGGCCGAGATGGGAGGATCACTTGAGGCCAGGAGTTAGAGACCAGCCTGGTGAACATAGTGAGACCCCATCTCTTTAAAAAAAGTGAAAAATAAAAATAAAAAAGAAGATTTCAAAGATGTTTATTATGGTACCTTTTGTAAGACATAAATCTGTAAGATATGTGAATGCCCACAGGGGACAGGCTGGAATTAAAAAAAATAAGGTTTATTGACTACTATGCAGCTATGAAAAGTAACAAAGAGGCAATATATTCCTAACTTTGTGTGATTTCCATGTATATCTGTTGAATATGAAAAGCAAGCAACAGAAGTATAAAAAATATCCCACCTTTTGAAAATAGAATAAACAAGCACCCATGTTTGTATATATACCTGTGTGTACGTCTAGAAGGAGAGAATATATAATAGAATATAACAATAGAATACAATATAACAAGAGTTAACATGAACGGGGCAAAAGAAAAGCAAATTTAAAAAGACAGGTTGATTGTACTATTTTTCTAAATCTTGTAACATAAATGCATTTATGTAAAATCATAAGATATGTAAAAGAATATGAAAATCATTTTGACTTTTAAAAAATAAATATGTCCCAGGAAAGGTTGGGCAATTCCTTGTTGAGGATATGATAGAATTAAACATCAGATAAGCCTGGACCAGCTCACCCTGCTGCCCTCCCACATAGGAGTCCAGAATTCTAAGAGAAGGGCAGAGGGGACCCCAGCACCTTCTAGTCTTACTGTCCCCTATAGCCCTCTAGGCCCAGGGTGGTCCCTGGACCATCAGCAATACCTGGAAGCATGGAAGAAATCAGAATCTCAGGCTCACCCTTGACCTGCTCAATCAAAATCTGCCTTTTAACACAATTCCCAGGTGACCTGTGCCCATTAAAGTTTGAAAATCCCTACTCTGTTCCTCAGGCCCAGGAAGCTTACCCCACATAAAACTATTCTAAATGGCATCTCCTTACAAACCCAAGTAACTACTCTCCCCTCCCCTGCTGCAGGAAAAGCTATCCTAACCTGTACTGGTCTCAGAGCCCTGTACTGAAGTCTCCAGGCCCTGGAGTCCTGAGGGACTCGACTGCCACCTCTTATCAGGTTCAGGGCATCTTGGGCCCAGTTATCCCTGCTCTGCCTTCCTGAGACCCAGACATCCAGTCCCCCCAGTTCCCACTTCCAGAAGGTGGCTGCCTCTGAGGGACTGAGGAAAGGCTGAGTTGCCTTGGAGACGAGGGCGGGTCTAAAGACAAGGAAGGCAGGTCACCCCAGGAGGTAGGAGGAGTGGGGGATACTCCCCCATCCCTTTGTCCTCCTCCAGCTGCTCCCACAATGCACTAGGGCAGGAATGTAAGAGGCAGCTGAGACCCCAGAGCTCTGAAGCAGCAGCTGAGGGGGACGACTGAGTTGTGGGGGGCACTCAGAGGCTAGAACCAGAAGGCATCACGCCTGGTCCCTTAGGGTCCAGCGCCGGGGAGCAGGCTGCCAGAGTCCCAGGAGACTGGCTTGGAATTCCTGGGTGCCGCTCTCCAACCCCACCTCTCTCGGGAACAGCGGGGCTCTTGTTCCCCTAAGTAACCTTCATGCCTATCCCAGATGAGTCATCAGAGCCACACAGAGCCGAGAGGAGCCCGGGGCAGAGATACAAAGGCAGGCAGAGGATACGAGGCAGGCGGAGACAGAGCGAGAGCCACAATGCAAGAGGTAAATAGAGCAGGCTCAGAAACACGGGGCACAGAGCCAAGCAGAGGAACACGGAGAAGCACAGAGACGTCTGGGCTGTCTGTTCTCCAACACCCCCAGTCACCTCATCTCTCTCCACTGGGTCTTCAGTCCACAGTCAGAGACCCAGAGGGCAAGAGAGGACAAGCCCAGAAGACCTTCCCCAATCCCACCCCCTTCCACTCCATTACAACCAAAGACAAACCAGGGGCCAGGCCACCCTGCCTCAAGCCCTTCACGCTCCTCTCCCAACCCCCAAGTCCCACTCAGACAACACCCACACAGCTCTGTACACACACACACGGTGAAACACACAAACTTACTGAACTGGCTGTAAACAGCGAGGCTAAATGTGGCATGCACACACCCACCTCTCAGTGTCCCTGACAACCCTCACAGAGTTTCTGAGACAGAGCAAACACAGAAGCTCATGCATACATCAACCCGTCCACACCTTGGCATTCCTTCAAGTCCAACCCCATCGCTCAGTGAATAGCCACCTTCAGACACCTGTGAACATGAAATGACAGACACCACATGCTCCTGTGACCAAAAGACAGCATGAGACACACACACCCGGGCCCTTGGGCACAGGATCCCCAGAGAACTGGGGCCCAGCCTCTAACACACATGGGTGACCAAGCCAGAGGGACGTCGAGGGGGCAGGGAACAGGTGGGCGCTGGGTGGGAAGAGTGGCAATAAGGACAACAGCCTTTCCCTGCCTTTCCACTCACTCCCCTTTCACCTGTCTCCACCACACCACTCAGTCCTGGACACACCTACAGGCCCTCAGCAACAGCCAGCGAGCTTGGGCGCCTGCCTCTGGCTGCTGGAAGCGCTGGGAAGAAATGTTCAGCCAAGAGCCAGGCATGGGGGGGTGGGACCCTGAAGCTGGCGCTCACCGGCAGTGACATTCTCTCATGCCAGAGCTAATTGACCATCCAGCCGGGAAGAGTGGTGTCACTGGTGGGTTAGAGTGGCAGTCCCTCTTTTTGCTGGACTGTGACCAGACTGACCAACTGGGTGTTGGCTGAGCGGAGGCTTAGCAGTTAGATGCCCGCAGGGACTGGCCAGGTGGAGGGCAGGCGATAGATGAGCTGACTCAGTGGGGCTGCACAGGAGCACCTCCTCCCGGGGCTCAGTTCCTCCGCACTGAGTGAGAGGGGACTTGCCTCAAGGCTGGAGGCTCAAAACTCTTTCTGGGAGGTCACGGGCTTCACCTCCACCCAGTCCCCGCCCCCGGTTTTCAGACGGTATGCCAGAGCATCGGGGAGGCGGGCAGGGAGGCTTAGAAGAGCTGGACGACCAAGCATGGCTCGGGACGTCCTGCCTCCCCCGCCCCTCGCCCTGCAGGCGCCGCCGCGCGCCCCCACCCCAAGAGCCCCAGGCCTCCGCCCGCGGGTTCCGCCGCCGCTCTCCCTACCTCTCATCGCTCTTCCCGGCAGACCCAGGCGTCCGACCCGGGAGCGGGGCCTCTTCGGCGGCGGGGCGAGGGGCGGGGGAGGCGGAGGGAGCCAGGAGCCGGGAGCCGGGAGCGGGAGGCGCCGGCGGGGCTCGGGTGTCGGGAGGCGGCTCCCGAGAGCAGCTGTCGGGGGCCTGTTCCGGGGAGAGGAGCCAGGGCTGGGGCGGCTCGGGCCCAGGCGCCGCCTCCCCCTCGCCTCGGCTCCCTCCCTTCCTCCTCCCGCTCCTCGCTCCCCTCCCTCCCCTCGGCCTTCTCGCCGCGCGTTCGGGCTCGCAGCCCTCCCTTCCCCCTCCCGGACCCAGTAGTCCCAGTGGCTCCCACGCCCGGCGCCGAGCTCCAGGCCCCGCGCCCGCCACGCCCACCCCGCGCGCTAGCGCCCGGCCCGGCCTCCCCCAGGTAACCCGCCCGCCAAGCCCGCCTGGGCGCTCCCAGGCCGCCCAGCCGCCCGCGCCGCTGCCTCCGGCCGGCTCCGCGCCCAGCCCCCTCCACCCACTCGCAGCCCACCCCCGCTTCCCCAAACGAGAACCTCCAAAGCTGGCGCCCCAGGGGGCTGGCTGCAGTCCCGCTCAGGGCCCACGAGGGGAAGACGCCCCTCCTACTTCTGGGATCGGTTCCTGGTGGGAGAGGCAAAGGGGAGCAGCCCCAGGGCACAGAGGAAGAAGCAGGTTCCCACAGGCTCGGCCCAGCCCAGCTGCGGGAGTTAGCCCAGAGAAGGGAGCAGAGCTCAGGTCTCAGGGCTCACCTGTCCAGCCAGGCCCCAGACTGCTCTTCTCCCTCCACCAACCTTTGCTCCTCTCTCGCAGCCTGTGCGCTCCCGCCCCTACGACCCAACCTGGAAGGCCCCAGACCCTGAAGGCGGGCCCACTCTCTTCTCCTTCTCCTCTCAGTTCCTCTCTCTGAAGGGCGTTCTAAGGGACCCGGGGGTCCAGACGCCCAGGCCCTGATTCCCCTGGGCTCCCAACGGAGTGGAGTGGGAGGGGGACTCAGGAGTCCTCAGGGCAAGCCTCCCTCAGGCCCAGCCAGCTCTGGCCGTAGTGGGCCAGAGGGTCTGATCACTGGCCAGAAGAGGCCAAAAATGAGGCCAGGACAAAGTTGAGTGGTCGGGAGGAGGAAGAAGAGGAGCAGGAGAAGGATGGAGGCACACTGAAAATCACACACAGTCAAAAGGAAGGGGACCAAGAGACCCAGGGAAGATGAAACAGTGAGACTGAGTAGGCAAAGCAACTGAGAGAGCTACTGGGCAGAGGATGGAGCGGGACAGAACAGCTTGTGGTGGGAGGTGCTTTTTCCCCACTCAGCACTACCTCAGCCCCTCACCTCTCTCCACACCCCCACACCTGCTCACCACCTAGACAATGTCACGGTCACAGGAAGTTCTCGCTCCACTGCACATCTCCGCCCCAGGAACCTCACAGTAGATAAAAACATACCCTGCTTGCAGTCCCAGACAACAATCCCAAGAAAGAAACACGAAGTCCCAACCAGACAAGTACACAAAAGCACTACCAGGAAGAAGCTGGCCCTTGGGAAAGGCCGAGGCACACATGGGCACTAGTTCAGAAGCCCAAGGACGTTCCAACGGCTGAGGGACCTGCTAACAGACAGCCCCAGGGTCACTCGAAGAGCAGCTTCTTCCCGCCTTCCTGTCCCACCAAGCCCCCAGGGATTCATTCCCCCAGAACACCTACCCCTCCAGAGAACAGCAGCTGGGGAATCTAGGCCCAGGAGACGCTGGACTGGGGGTGGGGCCAGCCTGGGGGTGGGGCCAAGGCTTCCCAAGTCACCTCACCTGGCAGCCCACAGCCCCTCCTTCCAGGAGCTGTGCTCTGGGAAAGCCCCAACAGGCCTGCCAGGCAAGCTACAGCCCGTCATACCCTGGTGGGACATTCCACACCCCAGGCCCACGCTGACCCCAGCTAAGTGGCATGGCAGTGCCAGACAGAGGGGTCCACTGGGGAGAGCAGAAGGAGCTAGAGAGTCCTGAAACCTTTGTCCCCTCTTCTCACTGCCTCAGGAGAAATTCCTAGTGGTGATGCCCACCTCGCCCCAGCTCTAGGCTGGAGGAGTGGGAGGGATGCAAGGCTGGGGCCCAGTGGAGTCAAGTGACAACGGAAAGGGAGCTGGAGCCAGCTGGAATGCGGGACTCGGAGCCGAGATTCCCAGGGGCCTGAGAGGGAAATCCCAGCCATCCTGGGGCCCAGAGAGCAGCACCAAAGACCAAGAGGGCCTGATTACCCATCCGTGGTCCCCAGAGCCCATTCCACATCTCCTGCATCACTCCGAACCCCAGAGGCCCCCTGTGTCCCTGAGAACCCCCAAATGACCCTCTACCATCCCCTCCCATCCTGGGCTTCCCTCCCCTTCAAGCCAGTGGCAGCCTGCTGCCCAGGAAGGAGAGGATGGGAAACAGCTGAAAAAATGTGAGGAGAGGCACGTAGGAGAGGGGAGAAGGCAGCTTCAGGCCTGCAGACCACCTGGCCACAGGAGGGAAGCCCAGCACGACCAGCGAGCGAGAGGACGGACCAGATGGGCCCCCACACATACACTAGCTGCAGTCCCCTTCCGGGAGCTGCAGCTGCCTCTGGAGGAGCAGGCTGGGTCAGCAGCTGGGGAGAGTAAGAAGCGACGGGTGGGGGGCAGGGTGAAGGAGTGTACAAGGCTTTGGGTGTGAGTCAGACCTGATGCCACTGAATAAACTGGAAACTGAGGCCAGGGAGCGAAGGAGGAGATTGAGATGACGTAGCTCTGGGAGAGAGATGAAACAGCTCAGCTGTGGTTGGGGAAGAAAAGGGCAAGGGACCAGAAGAGGGAGAGGAGGCTGATGGTCAGATGGGGACAATGGTGAGAGAATTCCCAGAGAGACGGAGATGGACTGAGGTCAAGGCCAAGGAGACAGGTCTGAGAGAGGAAAAGGAGGATGAAGACAGGGCACACACAGCAAAAGGTGGGAAGCCCCAGGGGCTCAGAGGAGGAGACTGAAGTTTGGGAAGAAAAGGGCTGAACTGGATGAAGGAACTGAAGTGGACTCGGGAAGGAAACAGTGTTGGAAACAAACTCCTAAGAGAGGAAGGCAGGGAACTGAGGAGGCTTGAGAGCTGGGCAGACAGATCAAGGGGACAAGAAGCAAGGACAAGGGAAGAAGGGGCTGGAGTGAAACAGAGAGTGGAGGGAAAGAGGAGGGAGACTGGGGCGCAGAGTGTGAAGCTAAGGGACACGGGGAGATGAGAAGTATAAAAGGCTGAGAAAGGAAGAGGCACCTGCGGGACAGATGGGGACATGAGGACCAAAGAGAGAATCTAACCTGTTTCTGGACAACGGTCCCCCTTTGGGGACACCCTAGTCCCTCAGCCCATTCACCACACCATGGCACCCAACTCTATTCCCTCTCTTTCCCCTCCTCCCTGCCAGGCTCTGGGCCGCTCCCCTCCTCCCAACACACCTCCAGCCTCCAGCCGGGGACCGCCTGGTCCCTGCCCACAAGGGGAGGGCCCAGCTCCAGTGCCCACTCCTGCCCTCCCAGTTCATCTCTGGCTTCCCCCCTCTCACCTCCAGCTCAGGATTCTCTTAGGTCCCAGTCACCCCAGTCTCAGGCCTTTGGGGTCGGGTCTGGGGCTGCCAACGCTGCCTGGCTTTGTCCGAGCGTCCGGGGCCCCGGGCCCAGGAGGAGCAGCTGCCCGGGCCAGCTGCGGCTGGCTTCAATGTGACCATGGCAACCAAGTCCCGCTCCCCTCACCGAGCCTCTAGGCCCCCGCAGAGAGGGACTGAGCAGCCTGGCTGTGGAGAAAGGGAGGGGAGGCTGAGAACTGTGAAACAGAACCAAAGGGAGACCCCAGACAAAGAAACCCCAGACAAAAGGAGATGAAGGGAGGCAGAGGAAACAGAAAGCGGCATTGGGGGTGGTGGCCGGGAGCTCAGGCCCTCCAGAGGGGGAGAATCTAGGAGAGGCGGAGAAAGAGGCAGAAGCAGGGGCTGATTTGCAGGGGAGAAGAGAGATTAGAATTGACTGGCAGAGGTCCTTTAGAGACTCCTTCTGGGCCCCTGAGAATTCACTTCCTTCTCCCAGGATTTTGCACCCTGGAGAGAACCAGAATCCCAGTTTCTTAGTTGGCTGTCTCAAAAATATTATATATGGCGAGAGCTTCCCTCCAATTACACCAATGGCCATAGGAAATATCTGAAAACAAAAGGTGCTCTCAGTTTTCACAAACAACCCCAATTTCAAAGCCTAAACCATCACCTCTTAAATACCAATGGCAATGGTGCCAGTTGCGGTGGCTCATGCCTATAATCCCAGCACTTTGGGAGGCCAAGGAGGGCTGATCGCTTGAGCCCAGAAGTTCGAGACCAGCTTGGGCAACATGGCACAACCCCATCTCTACAAAAAATACCAAAATTAGCTGGATGTGGTGATGCGCACCAGGAGGCTGGGTGGGAGGATCACCTGAGCCCGGGAGGTCAAGGCTGCAGTGTGCCATGATTGCACCACTGCACTCCAGCCTGGGCAACAGAGCAAGACCCTGCCTAAAAAAAAAAAAAAAGGGCATTGTCAGACAATGTTCAGACAATCCTTGGTTTGGAAACTATGATCCCAAAGCCAAAGGTGATGAATTAGGCTTGGAGGGACTGGAGGAGGGAAGAGGAGTAATGAGGCCGCCTCTCACAGCATGCAAGAGGAAGCAGAGTATCAAATGGGAGGGGAGAAAGCAGGGCTCTGCGTCTGAGAGGGAGAGTTAAGGTTCCGACTCAACATCTGGCTTCTCTTGGCTGAGTCTACATCAGTAAGAGGGAGATAATGGTCACTGGCCCAGAGTCTGTTTAGAAGATAATGAGATAGCATCTGTAAGGTACAGGCCCACTGATAAAAGCAACCATCCAAACTCCACTAAACATGATCTCTCTCTGTGGACTTCTCATGTGTCACTTGGGATCTCTGAGTGCCACCTCCCAAGTCATTCCACAACAGTTGTTATTAAGAGTTTGCTTTGAGAGGCCGAGGTGGGTGGATCACCTGAGGTCAGGAGTTTGAGATCAGCCTAGCCAACATGGTGAAACCCCATCTCTACTAAAAATAGAAAAAAATTAGCTGGGTGTGGTGGTGCGCGTCTGTAACCCCAGCTACTTGGGAGGCTGAAGCAGGAGAATTGTTTGCACCTGAGAGGTGGAGGTTGCAGTGAGCCAAGATCACACCACTGCACTCCAGCCTGGGTGACAGAGGGAGACTCTGTCTCAAAAAATAATAATAATAAAATAAGAGTTTGCATAGGGCACCAGGTGCAGTGGCTCATGCCTATCATCCCAGCACTTTGGGAGGCCCGAGTCAGGCAGATCACCTGAAGTCAGGAGTTCGAGACCAGCCCGACCAACGTGGTGAAACCCTGTCTCTACTAAAAATGCAAAAAAATCAGCCAGGCATGGTGGCGGTTACCTGTAATCCCAGCTACTTGGGAGGCTGAGGCAGGAGAATCGCTTGAACCCGAGAGGTGGAGGTTGCAGTGAGCTGAGAATGCGCCATTGCACTCCAGCCTGGGATACAAGAGTGAAAGTCCCTCTCAAAATAAATAAATAAATAAATAAATAAATAAAAATAAAAGAGTTTGCATAGGGCAGGGCTCTGACAGCGAGAGCTATGAAAGATGCATTCAGTAATGGAACCCACTCCCCACCTTCCAGGCCTTTACAATCTAGAGAGTGTTAGGCGTATATATGTAGTCACAGAAGACAGAACACCGTGCTACAGGCAGAGCTGGAAAGGGTCATGGGAACCCAGGGAAGGAGGAGGCCAGGTCCTCCTGAGTGGGACAGGAGACAAGACTCAGGAAGACCTCAGGGAGGAGCTGGAGCTTGAACTGGGCCTTAAGTCATGCTAAGATTTGCAGAGATGAGGCAAGGCCATTCCTGGCCAGAGAAGCGGAGGAGCCAAGGCAGGGAGGCGTGAATATGGCTATGTCCAAATGCAGCCTCACCTGGAAGAAGGGTCCATCCCATGAGTGAAACCAGAAAGGCAGATTTGGAACCTATCATTGAGTAGTTTGGCTTATTCTGAAGGTGAGGAGAAAGAACCTTGGGGTTTTGAGCTGGGAAATGACATGTTTAGATTTGTGTTCTTTTAAAAGTGGTTTTTGGCAGCAGCATGTGGGATGCAGAGTTCAGAGTAATGGCTGAGGGGAGGGAGGAGTTAATCCCACTTTATCCTGTGTACGTCCCATGGTGCTCCCCCTAAGCCTCCAGCCAGGACAGCAGTGCACATCCTAGGTGTTTTACTAGCATTTTCAACCATCCTGTGTTTGCCTCCTCAGGGCCCTCTGACATGAGTGGGGCAGGGCTCTCATAAAAAGAAAACCTTGTAATCCCAGCTACCCAAAAGCTGAGGCAGGAGGATGGCTTGAGCCCCAGAGTTCGAGGTAACAGTAACTATGATCACACCACTACACTCCAGCCTGGGTGACGGAGCAAGACTCTATCGCCAAAAAAAGAGTGAGAAAAAAGAAAACTAGGCCCAGAGGGGCTGCGATTTACCTTAAATTGCAATAGCAATTTAATTGCCACTTAATGGCAAGTGGCTGCTTCCTACCCAGAACTTCCCCTGGATTCCTCCATCTCAGTCTTCCAAAATGGAAAGGGGGATGTAGAATGGCTCCCTGGGCCTCCAGACTGGACCGACCCTGGACCGACCGCTAAGCCTGGTGAGTCCTGCCTCTGCGGAAGCCCGGCCTTGATAAACTTATCGGAGTATTCTTTAGGCCTTATGGTCCGGACAGTGAACAGGAAGGCCACTTGGGGGCGCTTGCTGCACAGGTGACCAACTCCAATTACTGGAAAATGGAAGGAAAGTGAAAGCGGCCAGGAAAGAGATTCAGGCTTGGGCAGGGAATGGCAGGAAGCACCCCAAAGCAGCAGACCCAAGAGAGAGGTCAGAAAGGCTGACTGGAAGCCCAGGGCAGCTGCGGGGCTATTTAGGGTACAATGACCTAATTTGCACATATAGGAGATGTTGTCATTTATAGGCAGAATGTTAGAATCTTCACTTTCTCTTTTCTATTGTCCTTTGCTAAAAAGCCTGTGGAATTCTCAGCAGCGTCTTAGGATCCCTGAGCCTTGCTGTGAGCCAGGCTCTGCTCTCAGCGCTTTCCAGAGCCATCTCATTTGGCCCACACAGCAGTTCTGTGATGTGGCATTTTGAAACATGCCCACTTAGGGTAGAAACTGAGAGTTAGAAAAGTTGCTCTCCATCCCCATCCCCCATACACACACAGTAAATGGCAGATCTGGAATTCAGATCTCAGTTGTTTGTTTATTTGTTTTATAGAGACAAGCTCTCTGTCACCCAGGCTGGAGTGCAGGGGTACAATTATAACTCAATGCAACCTCTCAAGCCATCCTCCCACCTCAGCCTCCCAAATAGCTGGGGCTCAGGCACCATCATGTCCTGTTATTTTTTATTTTTATTTTTTTGAGACAGAGTCTCGCCCTGTTGCCTAGGCTGGAGTGCAATGGCACGCTCTCGGCTCACTGCAACCTCTGCCTCCCGGGTTCAAACGATTCTCCTGCCTCAGCCTTGAGAGTAGCTGGGATTATACGTGCCCGCCACCACACCCAGCTAATTTTTGTATTTTTAGTAGAGACAGGATTTCACCATGTTGGCCAGGCTGATCTTGAACTCCTGACCTCGTGATCCGCCCGCCTCCGCCTCCCAAAGTGCTGGGATTACAGGCATGAGCCACCACGCCCAGCCATTTTTTGTTTGTATGTAGAGATTGGTAGAGATAGGGTCTCACCATGTTACGTAGGCTAGTCTCAAACTCCTGGCCTCAAGCGATCCTTCTGCCACAGCCTCCCAGTGTAATGAGATTACAGGCGTGTGCCACAATGCTTGGCCCAAATCTGAGTCTTTTTGATTACAGAGCCAAAGCTAGGCTGGAGGATCTCAGCCACCATTCTTTTTCCAACTCTAGAGGTCTATAATACATTCTTATCCTTTCTCTCTAGTCCTTGAACATCTTGGAACATTGTCATTAACTCCTCTAACTTCTTTTATCTCCCAAGAACACTGGTGGCCCAAATTATTCTTGTGTACAAAAAATGTACAGAGATCCAAAAATGGTAAATGCTTACCTCAAGGTCACCCTGGAAGTCAAGGTCAGTGCTAGGATAGTGTTCTCAAACTGAGGTCTCTGGACTCCTGAGGACTCGTGAATACCTGTGAAAACTATTAAGTTCCATGTCTAACTTTCCTTAGTAGCATTTGAAAAGTGTTATAAGCATGTTTTGGGTCATTTGTAACTGATCCTGGCCCTGCTTGTGAGTACCTGCATTTGCATTTACCTATTTATAGCTTTAATTGTCTTGGTCGCATTTGTACCAAGTGAAGGCCAGGAGACAAGTTCTAACAAAGATTTCTTAGTAATTTGAACAGACATGAGAAGGGGAAGAATTGAGTCATCGCCAGGCACACAGTGGAATATTGTGCCAAGTGCGGAAGAACCTTCATCAGGCAGTACATGGTCTGTTGCCAGCAGCAACTTCATTTCAGAAAAACACTATTTATTACATTAATGTTAAACTTGTCTTTATACTTTTGTTTGTACCTATGGCTACTTTGCTTTGGTTTTATAACTGCTTAACTACTGAAGCATAAGGAATTCATAGTTAGTTGTGTTTCCACACATTTAAATTATAAAAATAATTTAAGTCCATGAAAATTGTTTTCCTTCCAAAAAGGTCCATCCATACATTACTCAAGTTCTTGCTCTCACAGTAGGTATAAACTAAACCTGGGCCATCAAGAGTCTCCAAGGAAAACTTGCAATGATGGAGTCCCTGTTAAAGGTCAAAAATCTCCCCGACCCTCAAGATCCAGTGCAAGTGAAGCAGCCAGTTGTCTGGGGTAAATACCCGGGGTTTGCCATCCCATGCCAGGAAAATGTAGGACACGGACACACGCGAGGAGTCGCGAGGAGTTTAAGAGGGAAGGTTTAATAGGCAAAAGAAAGAGAAAGGAAAACAGCTCTCTCTCTAGTGAGAGAGGGGACTTCCGAGAGAAAAGGGGCAGCTGGAGGCAGATGAGCCGAATTTATAGTCCAGCTTGAGGAGGCGGCGTCTGATTTACTTAGGACTCACAGATTGGTTTGATCAGGTGTTTGTTTACATAGCTGGGAAGGCTGGCCGCCCCACCCTAAGCTTATTATGCAAATGAACTCTCTCGGAGGGTGCCATTTTGTCGGCTCCTTACTGCACCTGTGGCTGACAGAGAAGGGATGATGGGGCCGCCATTTTGAACATGATTGGCACAACTGCCGTCATCTATGTCTGCAGCCCGATTTTACAGGCTGCTCTTTGTTAGAAGGAAAAATGATTTGGGCCTGCTTTCCATTAAAAGAGAAACCTTACCAAGAACTTCGGTAACCTCACTGTCTACCTAAGTAATTTCTTCTTAACTCCTGTGTCACAAGGAAGTTAGAACCTGGGGTTTCTGGGCTACTAAGAGAGGAAGATGTGAAGGACTGATTCACAAAGTGAAGAAGTCAGAGGGCAGTCACCTGGGGAAAACTCCAAGGACAGTTTACAGGATAGAATCAAGAATTGGCCAGGTGAGGCCAGGCGCCCTGGCTCACACCTGTAATCCCAGCACTCTGGGAGGGCGAGGTGGGCGGATCACGAGGTCAGGAGATCGAGACCATCCTGGCTAACACGGTGAAACCTCGTCTCTACTAAAAATACAAAAAAACGAGCCGGGCGTGGTGGCGGGCCCCTGTAGTCCCAGCTACTCAGGAGGCTGAAGCGGCAGGATGGCGTGAACCGGGGAGGCGGAGCTTGCAGTGAGCCAAGACCGCACCACTGCACTCCAGCCTGGGCGACAGAGCAAGACTCCATCTCAAAAAAAAAAAAAAAAGGCCAGGTGAGGTGGCGCACGGCTGTAATCCTGTTACAGGAAAGGGGTCTCAATCCAGACCCCAAGAGAGGGTTGTTGGATTTCGCACAAGAAAGAATTCTGGGTGAGTCCTCAGTGCAAAGTAAAAGCAAGTTTATTAAGAAAGTAAAGGATTACAAGAACGGCTGCTCCATGGAGCAGCCCTGAGGGCGGCTGGTTGCCCGTTTTTGTGGTTATTTCTTGATGATATGCTAAACAAGGGCTGGATTATTCATGCCTCCCCTTTTTATTTTTTATTTTATTTATTTATTTATTTTTGAGATGGAGTTTCACTCTTGCTGCCCAGGCTGGAGTGCAGTGGTGAGATCTCAGCTTACTGCCACCTCCACCTCCCAGGTTCAAGTGATTCTTCTGCCTCAGCCCCCTGAGTAGCTGGAATTACAGGCGTGCACCACCAGGCCTGGCTAATTTTTGTATTTTTTTTTAGTAGAGACAAGGTTTCACCATGTTGGCCAGGCTGGTCTCGAACTCCTGGCCTCAAGTGATTTGCCTACCTCGGCCTCCCAAAGTGCTGGGATTACAGACGTGAGCCAGGGCACCCAGCCCCCCTTTTTAGACCATATAGGGTAACTTGCTGACATTGCCATGGCATTTGTAAACTGTCATGGCGCTGGTGGGAGTGTAGCAGTGAGGATGACCAGAGGTCACTCTCATCGCCATTTTGGTTTTGGTGGGTTTTGGCTGGCTCCTTTATTGAAAACTGCTTTATCAGCAATGTCTTTATGACCTATATTTTGTGCTGGCCTGCTGTCTCATCCTGTGACTTAGAATACCTTAACCATGTGGGAATGCAGCCCAGTAGGTTTCAGCCTTATTTTACCCAGCTCTTATTTAAGATGGGATTGCTGTGGTTCACACGCCTCTGACAATCCTAGCATTTTGGGAGGCCCAGGTAGGCAAATCACTTGAGGCCAGGAGTTTGAGAACAGCCTGAGCAACATGGTGAAGCCCCGTCTCTGCAAAAAAATACGAAAATTAGCCAGGTGTAGTGGTGCACATCTGTGATCGCAGCTACTCAGGCATCTGAGGTGAGAGGATCATTTGAGCCTGAGAGATGGAGGTTGCAGTGAGCCATACCACTGTACTCCAGGCTGGACCACAGAGTGAGACTGTGTCTCAAAAATGAGTAAATAAATACAGAAATAAATAAATAAGAAAAGGAAAGGTAAGTAGTTAAATGTCCATTAATAGGTATGAATAGCCACAAAAATTACTGTTTTATTTTAGGTTTCTCCAAAAGCACATCCTGGGACAAGTACTTGGATATAAGTAGTTTATTTAGGAGGGGCACTGAGTGAAGGGCTGGGAAGAGTGAGACAGGGAAGGGAGAAGAGCCAATAAAGCGTGTGTTAATGAGCAGATTACTTACTGTTGGGAGAAGTGGAACTTAAAACTGTTGGGACTGTAAGTGTCCAATGGGTTCTTCTTGCCTGCTGCCCAGATAGAGCCAATTTATAAAGGCAGGGGAATTGCAGTAGAGAAAGAGTTTTTCACATGTAGAGCTGGCGAAGGAGAAGACTGGAGTCTTATTATGCTCAAATCAGCCTCTTAGAAAAAATTCTGAGACTAGGGTTTTCCAAGGATAGTTTGGGGGAAGAAGGGGAGTAGCTAGGCAATGGGTGCTTGCTGCTGATTGGTTGCAATCATAGGGGTGTGGGAAATGGTCCTCATACATGCTGAGTCACTTCTGGGTGGGGCCACAGGAGCAGTTGGAGGATCCAGTTGGAGCCATAAGTCGTCAGACATAGAAAAAAATCTGAAAAGATATCTCAAAAGCCCAGACATTTATTCACACTAACGGTGAAAAGCATACCCCACAGTGTCAGTGGAGGTAACATGGGGTCCTGGATTTCCTCTTCACCCTCAGTGGTAGTGAGGTGTTCCTCTCACTCCTTCTGAGTAGAGGAAGCCAAGAGGAAAGCTGGAACTTGTACCATCATCCAGTGGTGATAAAGCCTCTGTCCCTCCACCTTACCCCCAGGTTATCAGTGGCAACCACATGGCTAGTGGTACCCCTCCCGCTCCTAGCCAGAATGATATCAGCAGAGGCCTAGAGAGTAGCCCAAAAACTCATCTGCACCCAGCAGGACTGAGGTTTCCTACCCCCACCAATGGAAGCCAAGTGAGGAACCTAAGCCTTCACCTCTCACTCAGCAGGAACCAGACAACACCCCCTAACACACACACACACACACACACACACACACACACACACCCTTCTGTTAGTGTGGTATCAAGGAGGCTTGATAAAATAGAAGATTTAAATAGGATCCAGAGGCTGGGTGCAATGGCTCACACCTGTAGTCCCAACACTCTAGGAGGCCAAGTTGGGTGGATCACTTGGGCTCAAGAGTTTGAGAACAGCCTGGACAACATGGTAAAACCCTGTCTCTACAAAAAATACAAAAATTAACCAGGTGTGGTGGCACATGCCTGTAGTCCCAGCCACTTGGGGGGCTGAGGCGGAAGGATCACCTGAGCTAGGAGGCAGAGATTTCAGTGAGCCAAGATTGCACTACTACACTCCTCCAGACTGGGTGACAGAGTGATACCTTGTCTCAAAATAAATTAATAAATAGGATCCAGAGTCTCATAACATAATATCCAAATGTCCAGGATGCAATTGAAAATCACTTGCCATACCAAGAACCAGGAAAATCTCAACCAGAATAAGAAAAGACAACAGATGTCAATATCACGATAACACAGATGTTGCAATTATCTGACAAGGAAGCAGCCGTCATAAAAAATGTTTCAACAAGTCATTGTAAATATGATTGAAACAAATAAAAAAGGGAGAAGTCTCAGAAAAGAAATAGAAGATATAAAGAAGAATCAAATGGAAATTTTAGAACTGAAAAATGCCATAATAAAAATTTAAAATTCACCGAATGGGCACAACAGCAGAATGGAGAGGACAGAGAAAAGACTCAGTAAACTTGAAGATAGAACAACAGAATTCATCCAATCTGAACAACAGGGAGAAAATAGATAGGAAAAAAATGAACGTAACCTCAGACCACAATGAACATAACTATGTGACTGTAACAAAAGATCTAGCATTCATGTTATTGGGGTCCCAGAAGGAGAGGAGAAACAGGATGGAGCTGAAAAAGAATTGAAAGGAATAATGGCTAAAAATTTTCCTAAATTTAGGGGGAAAAAACATAACAGATTCAAGATGCTAAGCAAATCCCAAACAGAATAAACCCAAAGAAATCCATGCAGAGGCACATCATAATTAAACTTCTGGAAACTAAAAAATCTTGAAACCAATCAGAAATGACACAGTATTTGTAGAGGAAAAACAATCCAAATGACAGAAGATTGCTTTTCAGAAACCATGAAAACCAAAAGGAAATGACATTTTTTTCAAGTGCCAAAGGAAAATAACTGTCAGCCCAGTATCCTGTAGCCATCAAAAATACCCTTCATGAATGAAGGGGAAATCAAGACATTCTTAGGAGAAGGAAAATGAAAAGAATTTGTCATCAGCAGACCTACCCTAAAAGAATGGCTAAAAGAAATTCTTTCTTTCTTTCTTTCTTTCTTTCTTTCTCTTTCTTTCTTTCTTTTCTGTATGTGTGTGTGTGTGTGCATGTGTGCGTGTAGAAGCAGGATCTCACCATGCTGCCCAGGCTACTCTCAAACTCCTGGCCTCAGGTGATCTTCCTGTCTCAGCCTCCCAAAGTGCTGGGACTGCAGGTGTAAGCCACCACACCTAGCCTAAAAGGAACTCTTGAGACAAACAGGAGAGGATAAAGAAGAAATCTTGGAGCATCAGGAAGAAAGAAAGAACAATAGAAAATGCAAAAATATGGGAAGATTACATTATTTCACTCCTTGGCATCAGGTTTGGCTATGTGACCTTCTGTGGCCAATCAAATGTGAGCAGAAGCAACATATATCACTTCCAGGAAATAGCTTCAAAGGCCAGTGTGTGGTTCTCCATGACTCTTTCTCCTCTCATGACACCTGTCACTGCTCCAGCTCTGCCATCTGGGTCCTGGTGTGAGATGACATGGACAGGGCCATAGCCAACCTGCAATGAATACATATAGCATGAGCAAAAATAAATCTTGGATGTTGTAAACATCTTAAGATTTTTGGCCAGGCATGGTGGCTGAAGCCTGTAATCCCAGTACTCTGGAAGTCTGAGGCAGGTAGATCACTTGAGGTCAGGGGTTCAAGACTAGCCTGGCCAATATAGTGAAAACCCATCTCTACTAAAAATACAAAAATTAGCTGGGGGTGGTGGCAGGTGCCTGTGATCCCAGCTACTCAGGAGGCTGAGGCAGGAGAGTTGCTTGAACCCAGGAGGCAGAAGTTGCAGTGAGCCAAGATCATGCCACTGCACTCCAGTCTGAGAGACAGAGTGAGACTCTGTCTCAAAAAAAAAAGTAAAGATTTTTTTAACCATGGCAAAACTTGACTTTTTTTTTTTTTTTTTTTGTGACAGAGTCTCGCTCTGTTGCCAGGCTGGAGTGCAGTGGCATGATCTCGGCTCACTGCAACCTCCGCCTCCCAGGTTCAAGCAATTCTCCTGCCTCAGCCTGCTAAGTAGCTGAGATTACAGGCACGTGCCACCACATCCAGCTAATTTTTTGTATTTTTAGTAGAGACAGGGTTTCATCGTGTTAGCCAGGATGGTCTCGATCTCCTGACCTCGTGATCTGCCTGCCTCAGCCTCCCAAAGCGCTGTGATTACAGGCGTGAGCCACCACGCCTGGCTGACCTTTCTTGATTGATATATAATCACAGTGATACATCTGTATAGTTCTTTTGTGTTGCCAAAACCTCACATTATTTACTTTGACCTTCATAAAACCCCATGAAGTATGAAGACAAATTATAGAGGGAGCCAGCCCCCAATATTTCAATGTAGGTTCTTTTCTATTTTCCCTTAGTGTCGGCTGGTCTGAGAAATAAAGAGAAACAGTACAAAGAGAGAAATTTTACAACTGGGCCTCCAGCGGTGACATCACATACTGGTAGGACCGTGATGACAACCCCGAGCTGCAAAACCAGCAGGTTTTTATTAGGGATTTTAAAAGGGGAGGGGATGTACGAACAGGGAGTAAGCCACAAGGATCACATGCTTCGAAGGGCAATAAAGATCACAAAGCGAAGGCAAAATTAGAATTACTGATGAGGGTCTATGTCCCGCTGTGCACGTATTGTTTTGATAAACATCTTAACAGGAAACAGGGTTCGAGACCAAAGAACCGGTCTGACTAGAATTTACCAGGCTGGAATTTCCCAATCCTAGTAAGCCTGAGGGTACTGCAGGAGACCAGGGCATATTTCAGTCCTTATCTCAACCACATAAGACAGACACTCCCAGAGCAGCCATCTACAGACCTCCCCCGAGGAATGCATTCCTTCCCCAGGGTTATTCCTTCCTGGGAAAAGAATTCAGCGATATTTCTCCTCGCACATCTGTTTATAGGCTTTCTGCAAGAAGAAAAATATGGCTCTATTCTGCCCAACCCTGCAAGCAGTCAGACTTTATGGTTATCTTTTCTTGTTACCTGAAAATTGCTGTTACTTTGTTCTTTTTCAGAGTGCACTGATTTCATATTGTTCAAACCCACATGTTTTACAATCAGATTTCATATTGTTCAAACACACATGTTCTACAACCAATTTGTACAATAGTGGTCCTGAGGTGACGTACATTCTCAGTTTATGAAGATAATAGGATTAAGAGATTAAAGACAGGCATAAGAAATTATAAGAGTATTAGGGAAGTGATAAATATCCATGAAATCTTCACAATTTATGTTCAGAGATTGCAGTAAAGACAGGTGTAAGAAATTATAAAAGTATTAATTTGGGGAACTGCTAAATGTCCATGAAATCTTCACAATTTATGTTCTTCTGCCTTGGCTCCAGCTGGTCCCTCCATTCAGGGTCCCTGACTTCCCACAACAAATTAATGATATTTTTGTGTCAAAGACTAGCTGAACCCTATGTTGTTCCCGGTTACCAACTGACATAAATAAGTATGTTTGTAATGAGCCTTAAGAATGGTTCTATGGAGTTGCCCATGTAAGAAGCAGCCGGATGGCAAATTAGTTATTGTAATTTGAAGTGCTCACAGTTATAACTTCCTATATAAGGTTCCTACTTGCAATTTCTGTTTGTTTTCTATATTCACAATATCTTAAAAGGCATAGACTATCTTTCCAAGCCTCACATTATACATCACTTTAATTTGCTCTGGTGTAAAACTGCTAATTTCTTTGAGGTGATACCACAGAACCACTAAATTAGATACGCTGTATGCCACATAGCATATATTTTAAGTCATTTTTTAATTAAAAAAAAACAAACCTTAAAATTTGGTGAAAATCCATTGTGTTTGTTATCTATTGCTGCATAATAAATTGCCCCAAAAGTAAGTAGCTTCAAACAATAAGAAACATTTATTTTCTATCTCTCTTAAACACATACACACACACATACATACACACACAAACACAGTATTAATTTGTTATTGTTGAAGTTTTAAAAAGTGATTTGTATGTCAAAAACAAACCCCAACCTTCTCTCCTTGCCACCCAAACCAAAGAAGGCCAGCTCCATAACATAAAAGTGCGAGGTGAAGCAGCAAGTGATGATGAAGAAGCTGCATCAAGTTATCCAGAAGATCTAGCCAAGATAATTGGTGAAGGTGACTACACTAAACAACAGATTTTCCATGTAGATAAAATAGCTTTATATTGGAAGAAGAGGCCATCTAGGACATTCATAGCTACAGAGGAAAAGTCAATGCCTGCCTGGCTTCAAAGCTTCAAAGGACAGTCTGACTCTCTTGTTAGAGGCTAATATAGCTGATGGCTTTAAGTTGAAGCTAATCCTCATTTACCACTCTGAAAACCCTCTGGCTCTTAAGAATTATGCTAAATCTACTCTGCCTGTGTTTTATAAATGGAACAACAAAGCTTGGATGACAGCATATCTGTTTACAGCATGGTTTGTTGAATATTTTAAGCCCACTGTTGAGAGACCTACTGCTCAGGAAAAAAAAGATTTCTTTCAAAATATTACTGCTCATTGACAATGTAGTTGGCCACCCAAGAGCTCTGATGCAGAGATACAAGGAGATAAATGTTGTTTTCATGCTTGGTAACACAGTGTCCATTCTGCAGCCTATGGATCAAGGAGTGATTTCAACTTTCAAGTCTTATTATTTAAGAATAAATTTTGTAAGGTTATAGCTGCAATGGATAGTGATTTTTCTGACATATCTGGGCAAAATACATTGAAAATCTTTTGGAAAGCATTCATCATTCTAGATGCCATTAAGAACACTTGTGAGCTGAGCACGGTAGCTCACACCTGTAATCCCAGCACTTTGGGAGGCCGATGTGGGTGGATCACCTGAGGTTAGGAGTTCCAGACCAGCCTGGCCAACATGGTGAAACCCCATCTCTACTAAAAATATAAAATTAGCCAGGCATGGTGACACACTCCTATAATCCTAGCACTTTGGGAGGCCGAGGCAGGTGGATCACCTGAGGTCAGGAGTTTGAAACCAGCCTGGCCAACATGGTGAAACCCCATTTCTACTAAAAATACAAAAATTAGCTAGGCCTGGTGGCAGAGGCCTGTAATCCCAGCTACTTGGGAGGCTGAGGCAGGAGAATTGCTTGAATCTGGGAGGCAGAGGTTGCAGTGAGCTGATATCGCACCACTGCACTCCAGCCTGGGCAACAAGAGTAAGACTCTGTCTCAAAAAAAAAAAAAAAAAAAAAAAAAAGAGAGAGAGAGAAAGAAAAAAAAAGAACACTTGTGATTCACGGGAGGAGGTCAAAATATCAACATTTACAAAAGTTTGGAAGAAGTTTGGTGCAAACCTTCATGAATGACTTTTGAGGGGTTCCTGACTTCGGTAACTGCAGATGTGGTAGAAAAAGCCAGAGAACTAGAAGTGGAGCCTGAAGATGTGACTGAATTGCTGCAATCTCATGATAAAATTTGAATAGATGAGGAAGTGCTTCTTGTGGATGAGCAAAGAAAGTGGTTTCTTGAGACGGAATCTACTCCTGTTGAAGATGCTATGAACATTGTTGAAATGACAACAAAGGACTTAGAATATTACATAAACTTAGTTAATAAAGAAGCAGCAGGGTCTGAGAGAATTGACTCCAATTTCAAAAGAAGTTTTACTGTGGGTAACATGTATCAAACAGCATCACATGCTACAGAGAAATCTCTCACAAAAGGAAGAGTGAATCGATGTGGCAAACTTCGTTGTTGTCTTAATTTAAGAAATTGCCATAGCCACTTAAGCTTCAGCAGCCCCCACTCTGATCAGACAGCAACACACCTTCCACCCACAAAAGGATTATAACTCTCCGAAGGCTCAGATAATCATTATCATTTTTTAGCAATAAAGTATTTTAAAATTAAGGTATGTACTTCTTTAAGACATAATGCTATTGCACACGTAATAGACCATAATATAGTGTAAGCATAACTTTTATGTGCACTAGGAAAACAAAAACTTAGTGACTTACTTTACCGAGATATTCCCTTTATTGTGATGAACTGGAACTGGGCCCGCAATATCTCCAAGGTATGCCTATATCTGAGAAAGCAGCACTGAAATGGCAAATAAATAATATTCATGAAAGCTTTGCCAGTAAGGAAGTAGAGGGTGGCTGTTTTGTGGAAACTAAAAGCGTGTCCTGCAAAAACCTTTCGTGAAATCAGACAGGCTTTCTTTCTTTTTTATTTTTTTTTCCAAGACAGGGTATCACTCTGACACTAAGGCTGGAGTACAGTGATGTGATCTCAGCTCACTGCAGCCTCAACCTCCTGGGCTCAAGTGATCCCCTCACCTCAGCCTCCTCAGTAGCTGGGACTATAGGCATGTACCCCAATGCCTGGCTAATTTTTTTTTTTTTTAAACAGTGGTCTCTCTTTGTTGCCCTGGCTGGTCTTGAACTCCTAGGCGCAAACTGAATAGGCCTCCCAAAGTGCTGTGATTACAGGTGTGAGCCACTGAACCCAGCCAGACAGGCTTTCTTCAGCAAGTTGTCTGCCATGCAAAGAGATTTGGGTCATAAGATTCAGTAGTCTCTGGGAAGCCTTTAAAAAAGAAGTTGAACCTGGCCATGATCAGATTGGCATAGTATTATAAAGGATGATATGAAGGGTGATACAGTTTGAATCCGTGTCCCTGCCCAAATCTTATATTGAAATGTAATCCCCAATGTTGGAGGTGGGTTCTTGTGGGAGGTGATTGGATCGTGGGGGCAGATTTCTCATAAATGGTCTAGTACCATCCCCTTTAGCACTGTACTCACCATAGTGAGTGAGTTCCTGTGATATATGGTCATTTAAAAAGGTGTAGCACCTTTACCATCACTCTCTCTCACTCCTGCTCCCGCCATGTGAGATCCCTGCTCCCCCTTCACCTTCCACCGTGATTGAAAGCTTCCTGGGGCCTCCCCAGAAAGAGATGCTGCTATGCTTCCTGTACAGCCTACAGAACCGTGAGCCAATTAAACCTCTTTTCTTACAAATTACCCAGTCTCAAGTATTTCTTTATAGCAGTGCAAGAATGGCCTAATACAAAGGGAAAGCAAGATTAGGGGAAGGGGTGCCAGTAACAAGGCTATGTATTATGTGCTTCTAATTCTAAATCATATACGTACTGGGAAACCAGAACTTGCAGGTGGATGGATCACCATCATACCTATTCCATCCCAGGAGCAGCAAAACTGTCCCCCTTAGAGATCTTCCACCGTGAACCTCAGAGCCATTCAGCTATGGGTAAAGCTAACCTAAGCACAAATAGCAGATTTTTAGCGCCTGACTGGGATCCAGAGCCACTTGGTCAGCGGGGAGGGTAAGGGATGGATATTGTGAAGGTTCAGAGGTCAGGGTGGGAGGGGGCTGGCAATGGGTTAATCAAAGGGGCTCTCACACAAATATCCTATTCAAGACACCAAAAGTGACAACCTGAGACTTCTATTAGCTTGATTTTGTTGATGAAACATTCACCTTGAGGGGAGGAGGGAGGTACCCAAGGGATATCTCATGCACCTCTCACCTAGACTCCAGGGAAACCAGAGGCAAGGACTTCATAATGATCTGCCCCACCTGAGGATGATGGTGATATGCTGACATCATCCTCTGTACTGCCCAAATCCTGCTGCACATCAAAAACACAATCTGCACCACCACACAACCACGTGATCATCAATTGAGACATGAAGTTCACATCTTGTCTCTGGACCTTGAGAGCTTGTTTGGAGATTCTAGCAGGGGAGCGCAGCTACTCGTATACCCTTAGCCGAAGACTGGTCCTCCTCTATTGGGGATGGTCCTCCTCTTCAACTGAGCACACAGCTTCAGGAGGGATGCACATGGAGTGGTGAGGGAAGAAGAGGACACCACCTAGCCAGCTAGATCAGCAGAATCAACAGTGGCAATCACTGGGGTGACAGATGTCATAGCCAGATCACCCTCACATCCAATGTCTCTGGAAAATAGCGTTCAACTTTCTCCACTTGAGAAGGCACCTGACTACTTGCCTGCTGCCCACACTAGGGGCCAGATATGGTACATTAGTCACCTTCTTAGAGGCATTCTCCAGGCTCAGCAGGAAGCCCCCCCTTGACTGGGGAGCTGGGAAAGGGCAGGGATGTACTTTTCTGCAGAGATCTATTTTCTCCACAATGGGATTTAAATCATTAAACTGACTTTATAACATCAGTTCTAGAGCATCCTACTTGCAAACGGAGTGAAATTATCCAAATTATAAAGGAATCTCTCACTTGATAAAAGAAACACATGGTCTCAGGTAGCGTTTTAATGTTTCATAGCATGTGTTTTCAGATCAATAGACACTTAGCAGAGGGAAGGTGTATTAGTCCTGTAACAGGGTGTATTAGCACTGCTATAAAGAACTACCTGAGACTGGGTAATTTATGAAGAAAGGAAGTTTAATTGGCTCACAGTTCCACAGGCTGTACAAGAATCATGCTTGGGGAGGCCTCAGGAAACTTACAATCTGGGCAGAAGGGCAAGGGGAAGCAAACACCTTCTTCACACGGTGGAGTGGGAGAGAGGGAAAGTGAAGGGGGAGGTACTACACACTTTGTTTTTTTGTTTTGTTTTGTTTGTTTGTTTGTTTTTTGAGTCAGAGTTTTGCTCTTGTTGCCCAGGCTGGAGTGCAATGGCGTGATCTCGGCTCACAGCAACCTCCATCTCTCAGGTTCAAGTGATTCTCCTGCCTCAGCCTCCCAAGTAGCTGGGATTATAGGCATGTGCCACCATGCCGGCTAAATTTGTATTTAGTAGAGACGGGGTTTCTCCATATTGGTCAGGCTGGTCTCGAACTCCCGACCTCAGGTGATCCGCCTACCTCAGCCTCCCAACATGCTGGGATTACAGGCGTGAGCCACCACGCCCGGCTCTACTACACACTTTCAAACAACCAGATCTCGTGGGAACTCACTCACTATCACGAGAACAGCAAGGGGGAAATCTGCCCCAATGATCCAATCACCTCCCACCAGGCCTCTCCTCCAACACTCCAACACTGGGAATTACAGTTCAACTTGAGATTTGGATGGAGCCCATATTGGAGGGATTGAAAGTTCCTATGTTCCAAGACACAGACCAACAAGAAAGCAAGCAAATTAAAAAGGAAGCCTGAAATTCTAGTAGTAAGATGAATTATTAGGCCGGGCGTGGTGGTTCACACCTGTAATCCCAGCACTTTGGGAGGCCAAGGCAGGTGGATCACGAGGCCAGTAGTTCCAGACCAGCCTGACCAACGTGGTGAAACCCTGTCTCTACTAAAAATGCAAAAATTAGCCAGGCATGGTGGTGCGCGCCTGTAATCCCAGCTACTCAGGAAGCTGAGGCAGGAGAATCGCTTGAACCTGGGAGGCAGAGGTTGCAGTAAGCTGAGCTCACACCACTGCACTCTAGCCTGGGTGACAGAGCAAGACTCCATTAAAAAAAAGAGAGAGAGAGAGAAGTGATTTATGTATTTGGTTTTTCCTGGACAGGAAGCTAAAATTCCAGGCTGGTGTTTAACCCCGGATGACTGTCAGGCGTAGCTGAAGACTCTGCTGGGTTTCTCTGGGCAATTGGCTTTTCACATTGGTCTGCGGGTTTGTCTGTAACTCCAGGCGATAGAGCTGGGAGTGTGCTGGGGGAGGACCAAGATTAGGATGAGACGCAGGTGAGGGCTCAGCCGTACTGTTTGTTCATGGGATGTTCCTCATGAGATCCTGTAGCCTCACATCGGCAAGAAAAGAACACATCTCCTTTATGTGCCAGCTGGGAGCTGAGGAGACTGGTCACACTCACAGAAAACCCAAGGAACGTTAGTAGTCATGGTTTTCAAGGCCAAAATCTAAACAGTGTTTGGGGAGGAGCTGGTCCCTCCCACCATGCACAGAGGTGTTTATGTGGTGTCCCTAGGCCAACGAAGAATGTCTCTCCAAGATCTCAGCTCCTCACCACACCTCCCCAACCCTCAACTTTCCCCTTCCCTCTCCATGAATCCACCTCCTTTTTACCTTCTCTCAAAGTTCCCTGCCTTCCCAAGTCCTTGCACTGAGCTGCGCCGACTCTCCGGCAAGATTAGCAAGTCCCTGGCCCCCTTTTATATTTTTGTGCTTGCAGCCTGTCAACTCTCAGGCAAACAGACCCTGACAGACTGCTTTACCAGGCAGAGTGCTACACCTCCTGGCTCCCCTGCTACCAGCTGCTAGGACCTAGTGCACGAGGTTATCACCACTTTGGCCAGCCTCCTCACCACCCTATTTTCTTTTCTTTTTTCTTCCTTGTTTAAAAAAAGAGAGAGAGAGAAAGAGGGCCTCGCTCTGTTGCCTAGGCTGGAGTACAGTGGCACAATCACGGTTCACTGCAGCCTTGAACTCCTGGGCTCAAGTGATCTTTCCAACTCAGCCTCTGGAACAGCTAGGACTACAGGAACATGCCACCATGCCTGGATAACTTGGTTTTTTGTTTGCTTTTAGAGAGGAAGTCTCCCTATGTTGCCCAAGTAAGTCTCCAACTTCTGGCCTCAAGTGATAATCCTGTCTTGGCCTCCCAAAGTGCTGGGATTATAAACTGATATGGTTTGGCTGTGTCCCCAGCCAAATCTCATCTTGAATTGTAGCTCCTATAATTCCCATGTGTTGCAGGAGGGACCTGGTGGGAGATAACTGAATCACAGGGGTGGTTTCCCCTATACTGTTTTCATGGTAGTGAATAAGTCTCATGAGATCTGATGGTTTTATAAGGGGAAACCCCTTTCACTTAGTCTCTCATTCTGTTCTTGTCTGCCACCATGTAAGACATGGCTTTTGCCTTCAATTGTGATTGTGAGGCCTCCCCAGCCATGTGGAACTGTGAGTCCATTAAATCTCTTCTTTTTCTTTATAAATTACCCAGTCTTGGGTATGTTTTTATCAGTAGCATGAAAAGGGACTAATACAGTACATTGGTAATGGGAGTGAGATGCTGCTGTAAAGTAACCCAAAAATGTGGAAGCAACTTTGGAACTGGGTAACAGGTAGCGACTGGAACAGTTTGGAGGGCTCAGAAGACAGGAAAGTGTGGGAAAGTATGGAACTTCCTAGAGACTTGTTGAATGGCTTTGACCAAAATCCTGATAATGATATGGACAATGAAATACAGGCTGAGGTGGTCTCAAATGGAGATGAGGAACTTGTTGGGAACTGGAGTAAAGGTGACTCTTGCTATGTTTTACCACAAAGACTGGTGGCATTTTGCCCCTGACCTAGAGATTTGTGGAACATTGAACTTGAGGGAGATGATTTAGGGTATCTGGCAGAAGAAATTTCTAAGCAGCAAAGCATTCAAGAGGTGATGTAGGTGCTGTTAAAAGCATTCAGTTTTAAAACTGAAACACAGCATAAAAGTTCAGAAAACTTGCAGCCTGACGATGTGATAGAAAATAAAAACCCATTTCTTTTTTGTTTGTTTGTTTTTGAGATGGAGTCTAGCTCTGTCACCCAGGCTGTAGTGCAGTGGCATGATCTTGGCTCACTGCAACCTCTGCCTCCCAGGTTCAAGCAATTCTTTTGCCTCAGCCTCCCAAGTAACTGGAATTACAGGCACATGCCACCACGTCCAGCTAATTTTGTATTTTTAGTAGAGACAGGGTTTCATCATGTTGGCTGACCAGGCTGGTCTTGAACTACTGACCTCAAGTGATCTGCCTGCCGTGGCCTCCCAAAGTGTTGGGATTACAGGCGTGAGCCACCGTGCCCAGCTAATTTTTGTATTTTTTGTAGAGATGGGGTTTTGCCCAGGCTCGTCTCGAACTCCTGAACTCAAGTGATCCACCTGCCTCAGCCTCCCAAAGTGCTGGGATTACAGGCCTGAGCCGCCACGCCCAGCCAAAAAAATCATTTTCTGAGGAGAAATTCGAGCCAGCTGAAGAAGTTTGCATAAGTAATGAAGAGTCAAATGTTAATCACCAAGACAATGGGGTAAATGTCTCCAGGGCGTGTCAGAGACCTTTGCAGCAGCCCCTCCCATCACAGACCTGGAGACTAGGGAGAAAAAATGGTTTTGTGGGCCAGGCCTAGGGCCCCCCTGCTGTGTGCAGCCTGGAGACTTGGTGCCTGCATCCCAGCCATGGCTAAAAGGGGCCAAGGTACAGCTTGGGTCATGGCTTCAGAGGGTGCAAGCCCCAAGCCTTGGCAGCTTCCACATGGTGTTGAGCCTGTGGGTGCACTGAAGTCAAGAATTGAGGTTTGGGAACCTCCAACTAGATTTCACCTGGATGTCCAGGCAGAAGTTTGCTGCAGCGGTGGAGCTCTCACGGAGGACCTCTGCTAGGGCACTGCGGGAGGAAAATGGGAGGTTGAAGCCCCCATGCAGGGTCTCCACTGGGGCACTGCCTAGTGGAGCTGTGAGAAGAGGGCCACCATCCTCCAGACCCCAGAATGGTAGATCCGCCCACAGCTTGCACTGTGTGCCTGGAAAAACAACAGACACTCAACACCAGCCCATGAAAGCAGCCAGAAGAGGGGCTGTACCATGTAAAGCCACAGGGGCAGAGCTGCCCAAGGCCATGGGAACCCATCTCTTGTATCAGTGTTACCTGGATGTGAGACATGGAGTCAATGGAGATAATTTTGGAGCTTTAAGATTTGACTGCCCCACTGGATTTTGGACTTGCATGGGGACTGTAGCCCCTTTGTTTTGGCCAATTTCTCCCATTTGGAATAGCTGTATTTACCCAATGCCTATACCCCCACTATATCTAGGAAGTAACTAACTTGCTTTTGATTTTGCAGCCTCATAGTTGGAAGGGACTTGCCTTGTCTCAGATGAGACTTTGGACTGTGGACTTTTAAGTTTATGCTGAAATGAGTTAAGACTGTTGGGAAGGCATGATTGGTTTTGAAATGTGAGGACATGAGATTTGGGAGGGGCTGGGGCAGAATGATATGGTTGGGCTGTGTCCCCACCCAAATCTCATCTTGAGTTGTAGTTCCCATAATTCCCATGTGTTGTGGGAGGGACCTGATGGGAGATAATTGAATCACAGGGAGTGGTTTCCCCCATACTGTTTTTGTGGTAGTAAGTCCCACAAGATCGGATAGTTTTATAAGGGGAAATCCCTTTCACTTGGTCTCTCATTCTCTTCTTGTCTGCCACCATGTAAGATGTGCCTTTTGCCTTCTGCCATGCTTGTGAGGCCTCCCCTGCCACATGGAACTGTGAGTCCATTAAACCCCTTTTTCTTTATAAATGACCCAGTCTCAGGCATGTCTTTATCAGCAGCATGAAAACAGACTAATATATAGGCCTTCACCATCGTTTTTTTTTTTTTTTTTCGAGACAGAGTCTCGCTTTGTTGCCCAGGCTAGAGTGCAGTGGCATAATCTCTTCTCACTGCCACCTCCGCCTCCTGAGTTCAAGTGATTCTCTTGCCTCAGCCTCCTGAGTAGCTGGTACTACAGGTGGGTGCCACCACATCTGGCTCATTTTTGTATTTTTAGTAGATATGGGGTTTCACCATGTTGGCCAGGGTGGTCTCAAACTCCTGACCTCAGATGATCCACCCATCTCAGCCTCCCAAAGTGCTGGGATTATAGGTGTGAGCCAGCATGCCTGGCCACATCATCCATTTTTGCTGCCAGAATTTTTGCCATCACCCCTGCCATTTGAGGGCAGAACAAAAGGTTGCTCACATCATTTGATTCAGATCATGTTGGCCAAAAGCTAGTCCCACAGCATGTGATACTGGGAAATGTAGTCTTGATTCAGGATGGCCACAAGTCCAGCAAAAATTTGGGAGTCTCATTAGTAAGGAAGAAGAGGAGAATGGATACTTGGGGACAACAGCAGTTTCTGCCACAAAGCACACAGTGGGAAGTGAGAGATCACTACACACCTCCATTCTCACCAGGAGCAGCTGGCCTGTAAATGGCACAAAGTAAGTGAAGAAGCCTCAAATGTTATTTATTTTATTTTTATTTTATTTTTTTGAGACAGGGTCTTGCTGCGTCTCCAAGGCTGGAGTGCAGTGGTATGATCATGGCTCACTGCAGCCTTGACTTCTTGGGCTCCAGTGATCCTCCTTCCTCAGCCTCCCAGTAGCTACGATTACAGGCGTGTGCCACTATGCCTGGCTAATTTTTGTATTTTTGGTAGAGACGGGGTTTTACCACATTGTCCAAGCTGGTCTCGAACTCCTGAGCTCAAGCAATCATCCGCTTTGGCTTCCCACAGTGCTAGGATTACAGGTATGAGCCACCACGCTTGGCCAGAAGCTTCAAATTTACATAAAGTGTGAAGTTTGGAATTCATAAATTCATAGTGTGGAATGGGGAAGGAAGAAAAGCTCTTTAAGAGATACAATCAGTGTTTTCTTTGGTTGTTAGAGTGTTGAAACAAATCAGACACTTTAGCACAGTAAGAGTTAACCTCCCTCACTGGGCCCCAGCAGGCAGCCCGGGAGCAGTGAGGTCGCAGTGGGTTGACAGGGTCTGTTTGTTTGCCTGAGAGTTGACAAGCTGCACGCACAAAACTCATCCAAGCAGAAGAAGCATCCATGCATGATAAACTTGAACCAATAACAAAGTCTTGGACATTAAATCATAACTGCTTTTTTGTTCGTGTTTGTGTATGTGTATACCGCTTTTTGATCTTGTACCAAACCATAAACTCCATGGGCACAGAGACCACGTTTATCTTGTTTATCATGTTCATCATGTGGCTAGCATGGATAAGGAATTTAGGAAATATGTGTTGAATAAAAGAGTAAATGAATGTTGTTTGTCACCACATTTAGTCCAGTCCTGCCTCCATCCGAAGCAAAAAGAAAGCTGAAGGTCAACATAGAAGCTGTGGTTCTACAAGCTCTGCACAATGCTGGAGCCCACCAGCATTGCTTGGGTGGCCCCTTCGTGAACAGGAACACAAAAGAGGGGAAAGGCATTTCCCCACTGGACATAGACACTGCTCTGCCCAATGCAGAATTGATGCCTGAAGGGCTCCGGTTCCCTGGGGGAATGCTCAGCAGGCGATGGAGAGTTGCTGTTGGCCTGGGTGCCTGGATTTAGGAGCACGAGTGAGATTTCCCTCAGACCCCCAGAAATACTTGGGCAGAGAAGGAGACACTGAAATGTTGTTACTATCTTAAGGTGGCCCCATTTGCACATTCCCATAGGTTAGCAAGACCCAGGGATGCTCAGGTTACTTATTTGGAACCTAATGTTGAAATACTATGAATTGTGCATGACAGATTAATTACTACTACTGGGATGAGAGCCCCTGGCCTTTTGGGATGGTGGCAGTGGCACTGGTGGAGCCCAGCTGCCTGTGGCCTCAGGTTGAGGTGGGCTGAAAGAGAAATGTGAAGGCAGAAAGAGAAAGTGAAGGCAGCTTCACTAGATCTTCCGAGGATGTTAATTCCTCTGCAGCTATAGAAGAGATGAGGCAGATGGTAGAGGCAGAGGGGGCTGGGATCTGGCAAACAGTGGCTCTTACTCAAAACAGTGAGCTTCTAAAAAGGTTGAATCTCCTCTTAAATGGAAGAGAGGGGGGAAAAAATGAGATGGACCAGAGTCCAAAAGTAGCAGAGCAACTCTGCAGTCCCCGGCCTGGGAGTGTCCCCATAAAGTGGGGGCCATCGAGTGGAACAGGAAAGGGGAAAGGGGAAGATCTTCAATTACTTGAGGAAATTGAATTCAGTGAGGGTATTTCTTCGAGCCCCAGGAAAGGGCCTTTGGTGGTACCCGTCAGGGAGCTGAATATATGTTCCTGCAATTTGGAGGACAGGGTGAGCAGCTAGCTGGTTCATTTCTGGAAATGGAAAAACACATATACACACAAAGACACACACACAACAAAAAAGAACACCAGGAGTCTGGCTACCTGCCCTGATGGTGGAACAAGGGAGGTAGCTGGGTTTCAGGGCTGCCAGCCTTCCGCAATTGCCGGGGGCACTGGATTCATGTTTCCTGTGGACCACAGGTGGGGCCACCATAAGAGAGAGATGGCAGGGGATGGCATTAGACTCTGTCTAAAAGGGTCATCTGAAGGGGTTTGGTGATCCTAATAGAGGGATGAATCGTCAGACTCTTAGAAGCTGCAGAAAGAAATATAGTTGACCAGCCTAAGGAAGGGCATTTGTCCACCTCAGGGAATTAGGTGATGAGAAATCGTAGCAAAGGGAAGGTGTTAGCTCAGAAAAATCAACGGAAGTGCCTGATGAAAGGAAGAATCAGCTATGCCTAATGACCCAGGCAGTGCTTCTGCCATCTCACAGTAATTCTAGTGCAATGAAACCTCCTGGCCCCTCCCTCTCACCACTGGAACCCTGGAGAGGTCCAGGGTCCAAGTTAGCAAGATGAGGGAGGAGGGATAGAAGCATGCATACACAATGAACCTGTGTAGGTAGAATCCAGGTTCAGCAGCTGAGAGAAAAACTGTATGTCAAAAGACAAAGTGTGTTTCTCATTAACAGTTCCAACATCAGGAGTCTTAGGCTGGATAGAGTGACTCCGCGGTGTTGGAGACCCCAGCTCCTTCTGTCTTGCTGCTCTGCCATTGCATCGAGGGCTGCTCTCTCTTGAAAGGTTGAAATGGCTCCCCACATCTGCTGGGTCAGCATTCCAGCCAGGGAAAGAAGGAAAGGGGAAACTAATGCCACCCATGCTGTTTGAGGGCAGAACAAAAGGTTGCTTATGTTGTTCTGATTCAGATCCGTTGGCCAAAAGTTAGTCTCACAGCCACACCTGGCTGCAAGGGATACTGGAAAATGTAGTCTTGTTTCAGGCTGGCCATAAGTCCAGCAAAAATTTGGGAGTCTTACTAATCAGGAAGAAGAGGAGAATGAATATTTGGTGATAACTGCAATTTCTGCCACAAAGCGCAAAGTGGGAAATCAGAGGTCACCACACACCTCAATTCCCATTGAGCGTGGCTGGTCTGTAAATAGCATAAAGTACGGGAAGAAATCTCAAATTTAAATAAAGTTTAAAGTTTCTACTATTACATGAGATTGGACCATTTAATTACTTATTAAACTCCTTGGGGAATTGGAGTAACCCAATGACCTTAGATTACCTACAAATGACTAGAAAGTTCATGGGGCTTGCTCCAAATTTCATCTTGGGGCAAAAGGAGAAGAAATCCCACAAAATGGATGTAAAGGGACACGGTGAAGTGAAAATAAAGTTGCTTCCTGATCCCCCTTTCTTTAGTTAGATTAGGCTAGGCTGTGATAACAAAAAAACAAAATTTCAATAACTGGCTGGTTGGGACTCTATACCCAATCAGTGGTTTTGTCGGAGATGTTTGAATCAGAGCAACTCCATCTTAAATAGGGGCTGGGTAAAATGAGGCTGAGACCTGCTGGGCTGCATTCCCAGGAGGTTGGGAATTCTTAGTCACAGGATGATATAGGAGGTCAGCACAAGATACAGGCCACAAAGACCTCGCTGATAAAATAGGATGCAGTAAAGAAGCCGGCCCAAACCAAGATGGTGACAAAAGTGACTTTTGGTCATCCTCACTGCCCATTACATGCTAATTATAATGCATTAGCATGCCAAAAGTCACCCCCCACCAGCACCAAGATGGTTTATAAATGTCATGGCAATGTCCCAGAGTTACCCTATATGATCTAAAAGGAAGAAGAACCCACAGTTCCAGGAAATCTCCATCCCTTTCCCAGAAAATTCATGGATACCCCACCCCTTGTTTAGCATATGATTAAGAAATAATTGGCTAGGCGCTGTGGCTCATGCCTGTAGTCCCAGCACTTTGGGAGGCCAAGGCAGGCAGATCACTTCAGGTCAGGAGTTGGAGACCAGCCTGACCAACATGGTGAAGCCCCATCTCTACTAAAAATACAAAATTAGCTGGGAGTGGTGCATGCCTGTAAACCCAGCTACTCAGGAGGCTGAGGCAGGAGAATCGCTTAAACCCAGGAGGCAGAGGTTGCAATAAGCTGAGATCGCGCCATTGCACTCCAAGAGCAAAACTGTGTCTCAAAAAAAAAAAAAAAGGAAAAGAAAGAAAGAATCATAAAAATAGCCAACTAGCAGCCCTCAGAGCCACTCCACCTATGAGGTAACCACTCTTTTATTCCTTTATTTCTTAATAAACTTGCTTTCACTTTACTCTGTGGACTCGCCCCAAATTCTTTCTTGCACAATGTCTAAGAACCCTCTCTTGAGAAGTGACTGGATCAGGATCCCTTTCCAGTAATGATTTGTGCACCCAAACTTTGGTTTCCTTAACTTGTGGGCCCACAGATGGTCAGCCCTCAGACTCTTGTCTCTTCTTATTGCAGGTTATACCTGTGACCTGGGCCCAGAGCTGTGGGCACAGCTCTGGAACAGCATCTGCAGGCTTTCTACCACTTGGCTATTCTTTATTTTTTTATTTTTATTTTTTTTGAGAGGGAGTCTTGCTCTGTCACTCAGGCTGGAGTGCAGTGGCGCAATCTCAGCTCACTGCAGGCTCCGCCCCCTGGGGTTCACGCCATTCTCCTGCCTCAGCCTCCCGAGTAGCTGGGACTACAGGCGCCTGCCACCTTGCCCGGCTAATTTTTTGTATTTTTAGTAGAGACGGGGTTTCACCATGTTAGCCAGGATGGTCTCGATCTCCTGACCTCGTGATCCGCCCGCCTCGGCCTCCCAAAGTGCTGGGATTACAGGCATGAGCCACCGCACCCGGCCTTGGCTATTCTTTAAAAAAAAAAATTATTGAGACATAATTGCACAGATTTAAAGTGTGCACTTTGATCAGTTTTGTCGTATTTGTATACTATGAAACTGTCACCACAATCAAGATAGTGAACACATCCATACCTCTCAAAAGTTTTCTCATGCCCGTTATACTTCCTTCCCTCCTGCCATGCCCATTCTCAAACACTCACTGATCTGCTTTCTGTCACTGTAGATTATTTGCTTCTCCTAGAGTTTTATATAAATGAAATCATATAGTATGTATTCTTCTTTTTTTTTTTTTTTTTCTGGTTTCTTTCACTCTGGCCATTCACTTCCAAGAGATAATGTATTAGTCCATTTTCATACTGCTATGAAGAAATACCCAAGACTGGGTAATTTATAATTCTGAGCTGGGCGCGTGGCTCATGCCTGTAATCCCAGCACTTTGGGAGGCTGAGGCAGGCGGATCACCTGAGGTCAGAATTTCAAGACCAGCCTGGCCAACATGGTGAAACCTCGTCTCCACTAAAAATACAAAAATTAGCCAGCTGTGATGACACATACCTGTAATCCCAGCTACTCAGGAGGCTAAGGCAGGAGAATCACTTGAACCCAGGAGATGGAGGTTGCAGTGAGCCGAGATCATGCCACTGCACTCCAGCCTGGGTGACAGAGTGAGACTCGAAAGAAAAGAAAAGAAAAGAAAAGAAAAGAAAAGAAAGAAGGAAAGGAAGGAAGGAAGGGAAGGAAGGAAGAGAGATTTAATGGATTCACAGTTCCACATGGCTGTGGAGGCCTCATAATCATGGTGGAAAGTGAAGGAGGAGCAAAAGCATGTTGTACATGGCAGCAGGCAAGAGCATGCTCAGGGGAACAGCCCTTTATAAAACCATCAGATCTCATAAGACTTATTCACTATCATGACAATAGCATGGGAAAAACCCGCCACCCATGATTCAGTTACCTGCCACCAAGTCCCTCCCATGACACATGGGGATTATGGGAACTACAATTCAAGATGATATTTGGGTGGAGACACAGCCAAACCATATCATTCCTCCCCTGGCCCCTCCCAAATTTCATGTCTTCACAATTCAACACACAATCATGCCTTTCAACAGTCCACCAAAGTCTTAACTCATTTCAGCATTAACTCAAAAGTCCAACTCCAAAGTATCATCTGAGACAAGGCAAGTCCCTCTTCCTATGAGCCTGTAAATCAAAAGCAAGTTAGTTACTTCCTAGATACAATGGGGGTACAGGCATTGGGTAAATACACCCATTCCAATGGGATACATTGGCCAAAATAAAGGTGCCACAAGCCCCATACAAGTCTGAAATACAGTAGGGCAGTCATTAAACCTTAACGTTCCAAAATGCTCCCCCTTTGACTCCATGTCTCACATCCAGGTCATGCTGATGTGAGAGATGGGCTCCCACAGCATTGGGTAGTTCTGCCTCTGTGGCTTTGCAGGGTACAGCCCCCCTTCCAGCTGCTTTCATGGGCTAGTGTTGAGTGTCTCCAGCTTTTCCAGGTGCATGGTGTAAGCTGTTGGTGGATCTACCATTCTGGGGTTTGGAGGATGGTGGCCCTCTTCTCACAGCTCCACCAGGCAATGCCCCGGTGGGGAACTCTGTGTAGGGGCTCTGACCCCACATTTCCCTTCTGCACTGCCCTAGCAGAGGTTCTCCATAAGGGCTCCACCCCTGCAGCAAACTTCTGCCTAGACATCTAGGCATTTACATACATGCTCTGAAACCTAGGCAGAGGTTCTCAAACCTCAATTCTTGACTTCTGTGCACCCACAGGCCCAGCACATTTGTAAGCTATCAAGGCTTGGGGCTTGGAACCTCTGAAGCAATGGCCTGAGCTGTAGGTTGGCCCTTTTTAGCCACAGCTGGAGCTAAAGTAGCTGGGATGTAGGGCACCATGTCCCCAGGCTGCATAGAGCAGGGGTCCCTTAGCCCAGCCCACAAACCCTTTTTCCCTCCTAGGCCTCCAGGCCTGTGATGGGAGGGGCTGCTATGAAGTTCTCTAATATTCCCTGGAGACATTTTCCCCATTGTCTTAGTGATTAACATTCCACTCCTCTTTACTTATGCAAATTTCTGCAGCAAACTTGAATTTCTCCCTAGAAAATGGGTTTTTCTTTTCTATCGCATCATCAGACTGCAAATTTTCCAAACTTTTATGCTCTACTTCCACTTGAACAGCTTTACCACTTAGAAATTTCTTCTGCCAGATACCCTAAGTCATTTCTTTCAGTTCAAAGTTCCACAGATCTCTAGGGCAGGGGCAAAATACCGCCAGTCTCTTTGCATAGGAAGAGTGACCTTTACTCCAGGTCCCAACAAGTTCCTTATCTCCATCTGAGACCACCTTAGCCTGGACAAATATTGTCCATATCACTGTCAGCATTTTGGTCAAAGCCATTCAACAAGTCTCTAGGAAGTTCCAAAGTTTCCCACATTTTCCTGTCTTCTGAGCCCTCCAAGTCTTGAGGAAGTTCCAAACTTTCCCACATTTTTGTGTCTTCTTCTGAGCCCTCTAAACTTCTAACCTCTGCCTGTTACCCATTTCCACATTTTCAGGTATCTTTATAGCAGTACCCCACTTTACTGGTACCAATTTACTGTATTAATCCATTTTCTTTTTTTATTTTTATTTTTGAGACAGTCTTGCTCTGTCACCCAGGCTGGAGTACGGTGGCACAATCTCGGTTCACTGCACCCTCCACCTCCCAGGTTCAAGCAATTCTCCTTCCTCAGCCTTCTAAGTAGCTGGGATTATAGGCGCCAACCGCCATGCATGGCTAATTTTTTTTGTTTGTTTGTTTAGTAGAGATGGGGTTTCACCATATTGACCACCAGGCTGATCTTGAACTCCTGGCCTCAAATGATTCACCTGCCTCGGCCTCTCAAAGTGCTAGGATTACAGGCATGAGCCACTGCACCCAGCCGTATTAGTCCGTTTTCATACTGCTATGAATAAATACCTGACACTGGGTAATTTATAAAGAAAAAGAGGTTTAATGCATTCACAGTTCCACATGGCTGAGGAGGCCCTCAAAATCATGGTGGAAGATGAAGGAGGAGCAAAGGCATGTCTTACATGGCAGCAGGCAAGAGCGTGTGCAGAACTACCTTTATAAAACCATGAGATCTCATGAGACTTATTCACTATCACAAGAAGAATAGCATGGGAAAAACCTGCCCCTCATGATTCAGTTACCTCCCACCAGGTCCCTCTCATGACACGTGGGGATTAAGGGAACTACAATTCAAGATGAGATTTGGGTGGAGACCCAGCTAAACCATATCAGACACCATTCTAATGGAAAACAGCTCAGCTGAAAGAATCCTGCCAAGAACTCATGCTACCTGTCTGTGCAGCAATTCAGAGTCATGAATTCTTGTTAAGCTATGTGATTTTTCTACGAGGATGCCAAGTTTACTTTCTGATTAATGGACCTCTCTTAATCAGAAACAAGCACAATTTACACTCATAATTTTTTGCCAAAATATATAACCTTAAACATCACCTCTCTCCCCTGCTTGTCAGTTCTCATCAATTAATCTGGTCTGAAGAAGAAAAAAAAACTCAGTTAAGGGAAACCAAGTGCACAGAGGATTTCTTGAAGAATATATTTTGCAGATTATGCAATTACAGACATTTGCAGCACTGTGAATTTGGACTGTTTGTTTTAACCCTTCACAGAATCTCTTACAGTGAATTGTGCTTTGGCAGTCGGCTCTCAGCTTGCAGGGACTCAATAAGAATGGGATGTAATGCAAAATAATTTATGGATGATATGGCACAATGTGTAGAATTTGCTTTAAAAGATCTCCAGCTGAAAAAGTGGTAGGAGTAGATTAAGTGAGTATGGTCAACTTTTGACAGTTTTTAAAACTTTGTGATGGATACAGCAAGACTCATTATATACTCACGGCTTCTGTGTATGTTTGAAATTGTCATCATAAGCAGAGTTTTTTAAAAGAGGCATAAGAAGTTCACCATTGTCTTTACTATAGGGATATTGTTAAAGATTTATTTTATTCATTACTTTGCAAACCAGTATACTTTTGACAAGAAATTAAGAATGATCTTAAAACTTAAATAATACTTATCTTAGTCCTGCCTAGTACAAAGTAAGCATGTAATAAGCAACAGTTATTGTTTATTGTGTAATGATCTCATCAGAATTCATTTGTGGGTATTAGTAGCCTGACCTCCTTGGAACTTGGAGGTTTCCTTTGATATTGGACAAAGTACAAAGAAAACAGTATCTTCTGTAAGGTTAGTTGTAAGAGGTTTTCTGGTAGCATACTGAATATAGGAAGAATTTCTGAAAGAACCTTTAAGAACTCTAGTGTCTCAATCCAGAAGGTAAAAATTTAATATGAAGTATTAAAAAAAAATGCACCATGACTAACCAGGAGTACAAAGATAGCTCTATGTTTTAAAATATATTCAAATGTATCATATTCAAATATATTCAAATTTTAAAGATAGTTTTATATTTTAAAATATATTCAAATTTATCATCTCTGTAGGCCAAAGAAAATAAGCCATATTATCACCTTGATTATGATAAATGGTTCAACTGGCTAACATTTGAAAAACAATAATAATTAGAATTATCTCTCTATACTCAAAATCAATTCCATATGAATATAAATGTGGAAATTTTTTAAAGTGCCAAATGAAAACAAGGGATGAGATTAGGGAGGAAGAAAACTACTCTGTGCTTCCTGGCTTCATCTTTGATCCTGTTCCATCCTCAGAGATTGCAGAGTAAGTAAACTGTGACAGCTCTCTCACTTTTGCATCTTGACATATTCCCCAACCTCTCTCATCTACTTGAATGCCGATTCCTTTATTGCATTCTAGGCTTTATTACATCAATTTTTCAATTCCTGCAATAACTAGATTCCATAATAAGAAAAGACTGTACTTGGCTGATTTCTTTCAT
This sequence comes from Homo sapiens, assembly GCF_000001405.40. Lineage (NCBI taxonomy): Eukaryota > Metazoa > Chordata > Mammalia > Primates > Hominidae > Homo > Homo sapiens. Next base: position 2,158,812 of record NT_167246.2, on the reverse strand, counting down.
AATGTACCTATTAATATTTAAGTGTGAATTCCTTAAAGCTCTTGTGATAGGCTTCTCAAGGCATGGCAACATTCCTCACCTCTCTTCTGCTGTATCATATTATATTACTGTGTCTCTGTGATAACAATAAAGAATTTGACTGCCCTTTGTCCCTGGTTCCTAGGAGGGAAACTAAATCCTTGGAATCTCCTGAGTAATATGAGTATCTTTGTTATTCATGAGCCCCTTGGATCACACCTGGGCTTATGCTAAGAGAGAACTCACGATGGGAGGTTGGTCATCAGAAAGATCACATAATAAAAGGATTGGGTCTTAGAGCCAGCCCAACCTCGACGGAGGGTGGGAGGACTAGAGATTGCGTTCAATTCGGTGGCAAATGAGTCAACCAATTGTGCCTATGTAATGAAAACTCTGGACGCCAAAATTTGGTGGAGCTTCCTGGTTGGTGAACACATCCATGTGCCAGGAGGGTGACACAACCTGATTCACAGAGAGAAGACACAGAAGCTCTGCATGGAAGACCCGCCCAGACCCCGCCCTACGTGTGTCTTCATTAGTCTGGTCCTCCTGATTTGTATCCTTTGTAACAAGCCTGTAATCGTAAGTATAACATTCTCCTGAGTTTGGTGAGTTGTTCTAGCAAATTATCAAACCCGAGGGGGTTGTGGGTACCCCCCAGATTAGTAGCCAGTTGGTCAGAGGAGCGAGTAGCCTGGGGACCTCCACACTTGTGGCTGGCGGCGGAAGTGAGGGCAATCTCATTGGGGCTGAAACCTGTAGTTAGTGTTGTGCTGCACTATTCCAGTCCCTTATCCACCTACATTCCTCATTTCCTTGTCGGGGCCTTGCTGTGATGTCTCCATTTGGGTGATTTCATAAAGGTTAGAGATGAGGGAGGGCAGATTTACCTGGAGAACAAATTCCTAGGCCTTTTGATACTTTTTTTTTTTTTGAGACAAGGTCTCGCTCTGTTACCCAGGCTGAAGTGCAGTGGTGCAATCCAGGCTCACTGCAACCTTGCCTCCCAACCCCCACCCCCACACTCTGGGCTCAAGCGATCCTTCCACATTAGCCTCCAGGGTAATTGGGACCACACGTGCGCACCAGCACGCCCAGTTTTGTTTTTGGTTTTTTTTTTTTTTTTTTTTGTATTTTCAGTAGTGAAAGGGTTGCCCAGGCTGGTCTCAAACTCCTGAGCTCAAGCAATCTGCCCCCCTCAGCCTCCCCAAAGTGCTAGTATTACAGGCATGAGCCATCGCGCCCAGCCAATATACATTCTTAACAATTTTTTACTTACCAATTCTCTGTTCTGGCTTTGTATCTCTGATTTTACTAGATTATCCCTGTTTTGGCAAACACTAACAATATTTATATAAGTTTAGCCTATATGCCTTAAAGACGTTTTCTCCTACTTCCAGAACTTTCTCAGTTGTGTGTGTGAGTACGCCTGGCTTTTCATCAAAGAGCTTTGCCGTCTTGATGCTTCCTTTTCTGTGAACACAGCAATAAATAGATTCTGCAGAACAAATGAGTGAGTAACTTTTTTTTTTTTTTTTTTTTTGAGACAGAGTCTCGCTCTGTCACCCAGGCTGGAGTGCAGTGGAGCTATCTTGGCTCACTGCAGCCTCTGCCTCCTGAGTTTAAGTAACTATTGTACAATAGTGATCACTGCCACAAAGTCAAGTATACATTGTTTATAATCTCTGAATTGAAGTACAAATTTTACTTTCTCTTTTTTTTTTTCCTTTGGAGATGGAGTCTCCCTCTGTCACCCAGGCTAGAGTGCAGTGGCAGGATCTCAACTCACTGCAACCTCCGCCTCCTGGGTTCAAGTGATTCTCCTGCCTCAGCCTCCCGAGTATCTGGGATTACAGGCACGTGCTACCATGCCCGGCTAATTTTTTGTATTTTTAGTGGAGACGGGGTTTCACCATGTTGGGCAGGCTTGTCTCGAACTCCTGATCTCAGGTGATCCTCCTGCCTTGACCTCCCAAAGTGCTGGGATTACAGGCATGAGCCACCACACCTGGCCTTTTTTTTTTTTTTTTTTAATAGAAATGGGCTTCCCCACCTACCCCCACCTGGCATGGTGGCTCATGCCTGTAATCCCAGCACTTTAGGAGGCTGAGGGGGGTGAATCACCTGAGGTCAGGAGTTCGAGACCAGCCTGGCCAACATGGTAAAACCCCATCTCCACTAAAAATACAAAAACTTAGCCGGGCATGGTGGCACGTGCCTGTAATCCCAGCTACTCAAGAGGCTGAGGCAGGAGAATCACTTGAACCCAGGAGGCAGAGGTTGCAGTGAGCTGAGACCGCGCAATTGCACTCCAGCCTGGGCAACAAGAGCAAAACTCCATCTCAAAAAAAAAAGAAAAGAAAAGAAAAGACAAAAAAAGAAATGGGTTCTCACTATGTTGCCTAGGCTGCTCTGGAAATCCCAGGTTCAAACAATCCTCCCTCCTTGGCCTTCCAAAGTGCTATGATTACATGTGTGACCCACCATGCCCAGCTCTAAATATCTTTAATTGTAAGTGTGTAGCATTCCATACAATCCAAGCACAGTTTTATATAATGGGTTGAGCTAGATCAACAAGGTTATAGATGGCTGGTTCATGATCACCAGGTTGGTGGGTAAAATCAGCCATTAATCTCCTATGAAAGGCCAGGTACAGTGGTTCATGCTTGTAATTCCAGCACTTTGGGAGGCCAAGGCAGGTGGATTGCTTGAGCTCAGGAGCTCAAGACCAGCCTGGCCAACATGGTGAGACCCCTCTCTACTAAAATACAAAAAACTAGCCGGGCTTGGTGGTGGGTGCCTGTAGTCCCAGCTATGTGGGTGGCTATGGCAAGAGAATTGCTTGAACCCGAGAGGCGGAGGTTGCAGTGAGCCGAGATGTTGCCACACTGCACTCCAACCTAGGCTACAGTGAGGTAGGAGTTATTAAGAAATTATTTTAGGCAGATAGAGAGGAAAAAGGTCCATGGAAAATTTTTCACAGCTCTTGTCTAGCATGAAAGCCCTGGCTCTTAGACTTGGGCCAGCAACCTTTGATATGCAAACGCTAGCTGTTAGAAACTGGGTCCACCCAACAAGGCTATTCCCACCTTTGTCCTCTTGCCCTTGCCCCTACATGTGCCTGGCAGCATGGCCGCCCCCACATATCCCCACGTGTGTGGAACATGACACAGCCCTACATTTGCATATTAAAAGGCTAGGGTGGGAGGGCCAGCTTTTTCGCCGGCTACATGAATGACATGCCTGGTCAAACCAATCCCCTGAGTCCTATGCAGATCAGATACTGCCTCCTCCACCCATCGAATATAGCTGGCTGGTATTACCTAAGTGCGGGGTTCCATCTCTCGGCTTTGGAGCCCCCCTCCCTCTGTCTCTGTACAAGGGAGTTTCTTCTTTCTTTCTTCTCCCTTCTTTCTTGCCTATTAAACTCTCCGCTCCTTAAAACCACTCCACGTGTGTTCGTGTCATCTTATCTAATTCGATGTGAGACAAGAGCCCTGGTGTTCCTCCACTCATCAGAGCCATATCAACAGAGGGTGACTGTCTCAAAAAAAAAAAAAAAAAAAACTCCTCTGAAAAACAGAATTTAAAACTTTAAGTGGGCAAACATCATTTTTATTTTTTTAAAAAGTCAACAAATTCTTATAACCAACATTCATGGTCTCAAGTAACAAGTTGACAGTTTGAGCATCAGCTGCAGAAGATAAAAAAAAAAATTGAGGTATTTGCAAGAAGCTCTTGCTAGAAGGAATAAGAGGGGCTGAGCATTGAAGCCTGGGCCAGGTGAGCTGTCTTCCTTGCCTCCCCACGTTCCACACCCCAGACACCACTGATGGGGAGCTTAGGAGATGAGGGGTGGAAGGAGGAGGTGAGGCTGGGTTTCCTCCAGCTCAGGGATGTTGTCTTGAATGTCCTCATTGAAGGATAAGGAGGAAAGTGATGTCCCTACCAAGGCTGACAGGCTAAGGAATGGGAAAGCATCTTTGGAGGTCCCCAGGCCGACTACTGAATATCCTGCCCCAGGTGTCCAAGCTCCACAGTGTGGCTGGTGGGTGTGCCCTTGGCACCACTTTCCCCATGTGCTGAGTCTTCTGGGAAGCAGGCAGCACAAATGTGAGGACACGCTAGTGCCTCGGGGACCCTTCACTAAGACCGGCAGCTACCCCTTCCCCAACCCTTTTGCCCCTCTCTTTCAGAGATGGAGCCCATCCAGAACCCAGCTGTGCTGCTGCAAGGTACATTCTGTCTCCCTCTCTCTTTCTCTCTTTCCAGCACACCAAATTCCCTACATTCCAGGGAGGGAGTTATCTCAGTCTCCAACTGCCCCAGAGTGGTGAGCAGCATTCCACACACTCCAAGCATATAAGGAAGAAGTGCAGTAGGCTGGGGACTGGCAGAAGGAGCTCCCTGGGCAGAAGAGCCAGGAAGGTAGCTGGGTAGGAAGTAACCTGCATGGGCCCAGCCCAAGGCACTAGAAAATCAGCCTTCCCCAAATAATCACAGAGGCTTCCAAACGTGCCCCACCCCTTCAAGCTCCCTTCCCAGGGCTCTGCTGCTCCCTCTCACTTTCTCTTGCTCTTTTTCCTTCCCACTCTAAGTGTCCTACTTCCATCTTCTTCCCATCTCTTTGTCTCTTTCTTCCCTCTCGGGCCCACCTTTGGCTTTTCTAGGCTTTGATAAAGAGTTTCCTGAGGCTCACCACCGGCAGCTGAATTCTGGTCTCCTCTTCCTGCCTCTGCTTGCCTCCGTGGACTCCTAGACATGCTCCTTGAGCTTGTGGGCAGGCATCTCAGCACAGCTGTGGGATCTGGGGCTCAGAGACCCCCAACTAGCCTGTGCCTAGAATCATATTTCAATAGAATGATTTCTTTTGAATCTTATTGATGCAGAACTTTGTTCCTTAAACCCTAAAACCAGGTTCTTGTCACACAAGCAGGAAAAGCTAGGAACGCAGACGCATTGAAGGGTGAGGGGAACAGAATTTATTGGGTGAAAAAGGAAAAGAAGAAAAAAAAATCTCTCAGCAAAGCAAGAAGAGTTCCTGCCAACAGCACCCCCACCCCCAGACTGATTCCAGGCTACACACAAGAACTGAAGAGGCCAGGCTCCTCCCCAACTGCACATGGCACGAACTTCCCGTGGCTCCACCCCCTTCTCCCAAGTGCATAGGCAGGTCAGAGATTCTCTGGGGACCCTTTCCCTTATCTACCTCCTGCATCTATCAATATGGTGAAACCCTGTCTCCAAGAAAATTGTGAAAGTTAACTGGGCCTGGTGGTGCACGGATGTGGTCCCAGCTACTTGAAAGGCTGAGGTTGGAGAATCACCTGAGCCTGGGAGGTCGAGGCTGCAGTGAGCTGTGATTGCACCACTGCACTCCAGCCTGGGTGACAGAGTGAGACCGTGTCTCAAAAATAAATTTAAAAATAAAATAAAAATAAAGAGTTGCAGCCTACAATGTACCATTCGGACTAGTGGGAAGCATAGCCTCTGGCAGAGCCTAGAGAATGAACTTTGAGGGACGAGGAGGAATAAGAAAGGAATTTAATCTGACTGGGTTGGCCAAGTATACATATTCAACAGGTTACAGAAGGAGCTATGAATATTCATGAAAGTGGTCCTGAAGCACATATACTGAATAAACTAGTATATTGCATATGACCCATGTGCACCTTAGGGTGGAGACTTAGCATTTAAATGTATTACAGCTGGCCAGGCGCGGTGGCTTACACCTGTAATCCCAGCACTTTGGGAGGCTGAGGCAGATGGATCATGAGGTCAGGAGATCGAGGCCATCCTGGCTAACAGGGTGAAACCCCGTCTCTACTAAAAATACAAAAAAAATTAGCCGGGCATGGTAGCGGGTGCCTGTAGTCCCAGCTACTCGGGAGGCTGAGGCAAGAGAATGGCATGAACCTGGGAGGCAGAGCTTGCAGTGAGCCGAGATCGCACCACTGCACTCCAGCCTAAGCGATAGTGAGACTCCGTCTCAAAAAAAAAAAAAATTAATTAAAAAAAAATAAATGTATTACAATTAGGTCTTATACATCAAAAGGTCTTTTCAGGACACAAGCAAACTCAAGTATGCAGCATCTGTAAACCAGCCAGAACCAGTCCATGGTCAGTAGTCTTCTTATCAGGAGAAGGTTACTGAAATCAGTCTCGTGTTCAACCCAAGCTGTAGTTTTGGCTGATGGACGATCTGCAAGTTGTTTTAATCTTGCTTATCTCAAGGCCAATGTTTGTTTGGCTGCTAGAGAAAAATTAAAACCTTGTGGCAGAACACTTTTTCTTTAAGTGCAGGGGTGTGTGACTTAACCCTGACCTGCCATGGCCTTAAGTCTTGTTTATAGTTTGGTCTTTCATTGGCTCAAATACTTTGTTCTGTCAGTCTTATGATCTCTGGTTTATTAATGCTGGTCAGTGGTTGTCTAAACCACAAAAGGGATGAGGTATGACGAGGTGTGTCTGACCTCCCATCCTCTCCTGCCTGGGAACTCAGTTTTTAAGGTTTCTCTGGGGTCCCCTTGGCCAAGAGGGGGTCCATTAAGTCAACTGGGGGGCTTAGGATTTTATTTTCAGTTTACAAAATTATCTCACTATAGTCTCTCAAAAGGAGTCTGTGTTCTTCCCTGAAAGAAAGCTGACATCCCCTGCTGCTGGGGGTTAAGGGTGGCAGGGTCACACATAAACCAGGTGTCAGAAGGGCTGTGGGCAGAGGCCGGAGCAGCCTGATTAAGGTGGGAAACCCCAGGGTTGTTCTTGATAATGAACTGAGGTGGAAAGGGAGAAAGGCAGTTGTTTTGTGAATCCACTGGAGACACTGAGCAGCGGACAGAAAGCAGATGTCAGGGAGTGGGAACCGGGGAGCTGAGTGGGTCCATCCTAAAAGGGGCAGCTCTGAGGCGTTCCTAACCTTTTAGTGCTGCAGGCCTTGTAGCCAAACTTTGTGCCCTACCCACTTGTCCTCTAAGGTTGCCATTCAGATGGCTCCGTCTTTAAGCCTCTGACACTGTTGAGGACTTACCCTAGTCACAGGAGCACTACCCATGGGTAGGGCAGGCTAGAAATGTCAGTGCCCTGGGGGCAGCCCTCAAGTGAAATGGGATTTGGTGAAGAAATACCCCAGCTTCCTCAAGGGTAGGATGACTCCGAGGCATGCTCTATACAGTAGTCTCTTGAAGGTCCCAGTGGGATTGAGCCAAGGAGTTCATTAAGTTCATTGCTCATCGATGCACCCCATGCTGGCTTCTGCCCTTTCCTGTCTACTTTATCAATTATGCCAGGGATTTCCTCTCTAATAACCTCCTTGCTTCAAATCTTTGTCTCCAGATCTGCTTCTGAAGGAAACTAACCTAAAACAGACCCCTTTGGCAATTTGTGAAAGCTGCTGTACTTCTGAGAATAATGGTGGGGTTTTGTTTTTTGTTTGTTTGTTTTGAGACAAGGTTTTGCTGTGTTGCCCAGGATGGAGTGCATTGTCATGATCATAGCTCACTGCAGCCTCCACCTCCTGAGTTCAAGAGATCCTGCTGCCTCAGCTTCCTGAGTAGCTGGGACTACAGGTGCAGGTCACCACACCCGGCAGAATAGTGTTTTAAATGTATAAAATAAAATAGATAATGATAGATGCAGGAGACAGATAAAGGGGAGGGTCCCTGGAGAATCACCTGCCTGCATACTGGGAAAATGGGGTGGAGCCACGGGAAGTTCGTGCCGAGTGTGCAGTGGTCGGGGAGGAGCCTGGCCTCTTCAGCTACTGTGTGTGGCCTGGAATCAATCTGTGGAGTGGGGACCTGTTGGCAGGAACCCCCCTTGCTCTTTGCTGAGAGGTTTTTCTTTTCTTCTTTTCCTTTTTCACCCAAAAAATTCCATTCCCCTCACCCTTCAAAGTGTCTGCCTGCTTAACTTTTCCTGGTCATGTGACAAGAACCCGGTTTTAGCTGAACTGAGGAGCAAAGTTCTGCATCAGTATTGCCAGGCTGGTCTCGAACTCCTGGGTTCAAACGATCCACCCACCTCAGCCTCCCAAAGTGCTGGGACTGCAGATGTGAGCCACAATGCCCAGTCAGCAGTAACTCTTTAAAAGAAATAAAGCTCTCCTTTCCAAATTTATGATTTTTCTTTTCTTTTTTTTTTTTTTTAAGAGACAGGGTCTCACTCTGTTGCCCTGGCTGGAGTAAATAGCTCCCTGCAGCCTCAAACTACTGGGATCCACTTCAGCCTCCTGAGTAGGTAGGACTACAGGCGTGTGCCAGCACACCTAGCTAATTTTTATTTATTTATTTATTTATTGGTAAAGAAAGGGCCTCACTATGTTGCCCAGGCTGGTCTCGAACTCTTACCCTCAAGCAGTCCTCCCACCTCCACCTACCAAAGTGCAGGGATCACAGGCAAGAGCCACTGTCTGCCCAGCCTAAAGTTGTGATTTTTAAGTTAACATATCATTGTCAAATTAATTTGTGTTTTCTGTTTTTTCCTCACCTAACCCTGCCTCCCTCCCACTCTTCGCACCACCCTGCACTTCCAAGCCAGGAGAAAGGACTTTGTGCTCCTTCACCTCAGAAACCTGAACTCAGAATTTCCTTGTAGACACTTTTCAGGCCTTTGTTTGCTGGAGACTGGAGTTCCCTGAGAGGATTAAGGGTGTGGTGGGGAGTGTCTAAAGGAGCCCAGTGCCTTGAGGGCAGCCAAGAAGACAGAGGCCCTGGACTGGATACCGGCTGAGGTAGGTGGATCCCTGTGGGGTGGAGACCATCCCCAGCTCCACAGCCCCAGGCATGTCAAGGGCTATCATCAAGGCCTCAGAGGAGACCAGCTGCCTGGGGCACCTCAGGAAGCTATACCCTGACACCTGGACTCCAGAGTCCACAAATATATCTGTACCCAAACCAGTGGGCAAGCAAAGAAGCCCTTGCCTTTGGGAGACCTCAGGATGTTGGCCATGAGAACATCATGGATGGGCGCGGTGGCTCGCTCCTGTAATCCCAGCACTTTGGGAGGCCAAGGCGGGTGGATCACCTGAGGTTAGGAGTTCGAGACCAGCCTGGCCAACATGGTAAAACCCTGTCTCTACTAAAAATACAGAAATTAGCCAGGCACAGTGGCAGGTGCCTGTAATCCCAGCTACTCGGGCGGCTGAGGCAGGAGAATCGCTTGAACCTGGGAGGCAGAGGTTGCAGTGAGCCAAGATCATATCACTGTGCTCCAGCTTGGGCAACAAGACAGAAACTCCATCTCAAAAAAAAAAAAAAGAAAAGAAATCATGGACTCCAAAAGGCCTGAAGTGGAGAGTCCTGAAGCCATCTCAGACCATGAGGCCACCCTAAGGGTAGAAGGAAGCACACTAAGATGACAGGAACAGAAGACAGGAGCCTGGGTCCATCATGCCAGGGAGCCTCCACACCTGCCCTGGACGTTTCATCTCAGACCTCGTGGATAAAGCAGAGAAATAAATATCTACCTTGTTTAAGCCACTTATTTTCAATTTTTTGTTTCAAGCAGGCTTTTCATGAAGTTCCCAGTCTGACAGCATTAATTGGTGGGCTAGAATTTGTGGACGGTTTCCATGTATGTATTCTGCAAAACCATCCATAAGAAAGAGTTGAACAAGTCTTGGGACTAGCTAGAGAAGTGGGCAAAAAAAGAGAGGAAGTGGCCGAGTGCGGTGGCTCACGCCTGTAATCCCAGCACTTTGGGATGCTCAGGCAGGCAGATCACGAGATCAAGAGATTGAGACCATCCTGGCCAACATGGTGAAACCCCGTCTCTACTGAAAATACAAAAATTAGCTGGGCGTGATGCCATGCGCCTGTAGTCCGAGCTACTCGGGAGGCGGAGGCAGGAGAATCACTTGAACCCTGGAGGCAGAGGTTGCAGTGTGTCAAGATCATGCCACCGCTCTCCAGCCTAGTAACAGAGTGAGAATTCCGTCTCAAAAAAAAAAAAAAAAAAAAAGAGAGAGAGGAAGTAGCCTCTCCACTGCCCCTGCCATGCCTAGAAGGTTCCCCAGCATAAGAAGAGATCATTTGCATCTCAAACAGCACAATAGGCAGCCTGCTGGGTGGCCGGGGAAACTGTCCAAGACAGGACCGTACCAGAGGCCTTTTCTTGTCCTTTGAATATTTCAACTTCTGTGCAGGAAGGCTTGGGCTTTCCCAGGACAAAATAATTTTTAACATTTTATTTGTCTTATTAAATATTAAATAAATATATTTGTAAAAGATACAGACATGAATAACAATGATACAAAGAATGACAAAGTGACCTTTTAAATTTGAGACCAATTCCATCTAAAACAATCCAAGCCACCTGTAGCTGTTGGTTTGATTGCAATAACCAATACTGGACCATGGTTACTTAACCTATCAACCCAAGAAGAAATCTTTCATAACTGTGATGATCACGAAGGAAATATAAACATGGCTAACCTGTGTCATGAAAAATGGAAGCTAATTAAGGTATCTGAAATGAGTGAGGAGACTGAGGATGTTCTGAAGGAAATGCAGGAAGGAGAATTAGCCTAAGTGCATCCATGTTGAACTTATACATAAATCTTTCCTTGGTTGGCAAGAGTCCAGAATATGATATCACAGTGTGTGAAGGAGGCTGAGAGGAAACAGACTGTCCCATGCATTGCTGGCAGCAGTGCAGATGGCACAGTTCTGTGGAGCAGACCTGCAATATCTACCAGAACTATACATGCACAAACCCTTTGACCCAGAGATCCCCCTTCTGGGAATCTATCTTATAGATTCACCTACACAAAGGTAAACTTGCTTAGGTATAAGGTTATTCATTGTGGCATTATTTATAATAACAACGGATCAGAAACAGCCCAACAACCCAGCAATAGGAGACTGGCGAACACACAGCTCTGGTCGATCCACCAATGGAATACTATAGAGCTGTCAAAATGAAAAAGGCAGGAGGAACAGCTTTACGTGGTGATAGGGAAGGATACCCAGTATATTTAGTTACGATTTTAAAAGGAAGGAGCAAGATGTATATAACATGCTTTTTTTGTGTAATAAAAGAGGAAATAAAAGTATGTTATTTATGTTTGCATAAAGAAACGTTGGGAGAATAAATAAGGCACTATTCTGGTAAAAATGGTTACTGACGAGCAATGTGAGGGGAAAAAGAGAGGGTAAGTGTGGGGTAGGAGTGATATTTCTCATGTACTTATTGATGTCATTTTTATTTGAACTACATAAATGAAATATCATTTTAAAAACTAGGCCTGGGTGTGGTGGATCACACTTGTAATCCCAGCACTTTAGGAGGCCAAGGTGGGAGGATGACGAGTTCAGGAGTTCAAGACCAGCCTGGCAACATAGCAAGACTTTGTCTCTACTAAAAAAATTTTAAAAATTAGCCAGGCATGGTGCCACATGGCTGTAGTCCCAGCTACTCATGAGGCTGAGGTGGGAGGATTGCTTGAGCCCAAGAGTTGAAGGCTTCAGTGAGCCACTGCACTTCAGCGTGGGTGACAGAGCAAAACCCTGTCTCAAAAAACATACATAGAATTTTAAAAATCCATATCTGGACGATTTATTAAAATCAAAGAAATACAGAGGGCAGCTATTTAGTAACCAAGAAATAAGGACATGGATCAAAAATAATCGTATTTTGTTTTTCTGACCAAGTCCCTCCTCTGGTCCCATGCCCCACTTTTCATAAAGACAAAATTTCCAAACTTGGAGACATTTCAGGGAATCCTTGCCAAGAAAAATGCTGATAAATTGATGGACACAGGAGCCTACAATGCAAAAAAAACAGAAAGCTATAAAATGTTCCAGGTGGCTTGAGAAGCATGTTATTTTTGTCATTTGGGGCTATAAAATGTGCATGAAATGTCACATTCCTTACTTTTACTCAATCAAATGTAATCTGCTCTGTGTCCTACCCAGAAGACTGGGAGGAAATTCAACCCTAGTCATTAGTGGGGCTGTCTCCTCCCTCCAACACATTACAAAATACCAGGGGCTTAGGCAGTACCAGAAAAGCTGGGAGCAAGGCCAGGTCCTTAGTACTCAGGATAGCCAACTTAGTTCGCTCTAGCTGCTGTGACAGAATACCAGAGACTAGGTGACTTAAATGACAAATATGTTTTTGTTTGTTTTTGAGACAGGGTCTCACTGTATCACTCAGGCTGGAGGGCAGTGTTGCAATGTCACCTCACTACATCCTCAACCTTCCAGGCTCAGGTGATCCTCCTACCTCAGCCTCCCGCGCAGCTGGGACTATAGGTGCATACCACCACATCTGGCTAATTTTTCTTTTTTTTTTTTTTTTTAGACACAGTCTCGCTCTGTCACCCAGGCTGGAGTGCAGTGGCACAATCTCGGCTCACTGCAACCTCCGCCTCCCAGGTTCAAGCAATTGTCCTGCCTCAGCCTCCTGAATAGCTGGGACTACAGGTGCCCGCCACCATGCCCAGCTAATTCTTTGTATTTTTAGTAGAGATGGGGTTTCACCATGTTGGCCAGGCTGGTTTTGAACTCCTGACCTCAGGTGATCTGCCCTTCTTGGCCTCCCAAAGTGCTGGGATTACAGGCATGAGCCACCATGCCAGCCTAAGTTTTTGTATTTTTGTAGAGATGGGGTTTTCCCCATGTTGCCCAGGCTGGTCTCAAACTCCTGGGCTCAAGTAATCTGCCCACCTTGGTCTCCCAAACCTGTACTAGGATTACAGGTGTGAGCCACTACACCCAGCTGAATGAATATGTATTTCTCACAGTTCTGGAGACTAGGAAGTCCAAGATCCAGGTACCAGCAGATTTGATGTCTGCTGAGGGCTCTCTTCCTGATTCTCAGACTGCAGCCTTCTCACTACCGATGGCCGAGAGAGAGCTCTGGTCTCTAACTCGTCTTATAAGGGCACTAATCACACATGGGGGCTCCACCCTTATGACCTCAGCTAAACCTAAGTACCTCCAAAAGGCCCCACCTCCAAATATCATCACACTGGGGGTTGGGTTTTCAACATATTAATTATGGGGGGACAGAGACATTTAGCCCATAGAAGCCACTATTGTTTCTCTAGCTGCCTCTACTTTCAGAGGCTACAGTCAAGTCCTGGAGTGATGTCCTCTGGGTCAGGCCCAGCACTTCCCCTCACATCAGCAATGTCCACATCACCCATAGTAGAATCTCCCTGGGGACCCTGGCCTCTGTGCCCCTAGCTGGGAGAAATCATGGCTTCTCTGGGCATTCTCCAGCAATCCTTCAGCCTGGGAATGCTCTGGGCAGAAGTGGGGGTCTCCTCACTCGTGGGGAGAAAGCACCAAATTTCCAGACCCTAGAGAATCTCAACCTCTGCTCAAGACACACCCACAGTCCACTTCTGCCTCTCTTAGCCTAGGTGTTTGCGCATAATCCAAATGCCATCACTACCCACCTTCTCCATACTCAAGAAAGAGCCTCAGAATTGGGAACAAAAAGCCCAGTAACTCTCTTGGTGAGGGGAGTATACACAGAGCAACAAGAACAAAACAAAACAATTCCACAGTAAATTACCCTGCCACAAGCCTGGCATGGGAGCTTTGATGAACTGTAATGGAATGAAGAGCTGGGTAATGCTGTAGCCGCAACCCGGCAAAGTGAGTTGAAGGAGACAGAGCCTTACAGAACCAAGAAGCTACTCACCCTGGGCATGAAAGCTCTGGTCCAGGTGCAGATACAGCTGTTTCAGTTATCTATCACTGAGCAACCGCCATCCCAAACCTAGTGGCTTACAACAACAGCCACTTCCTTACATAAAAAATTGTGTCTGTCAGTTCAGCAATTCTACTCTGCTTGATGTTAACTGGAGTCACTCAATGCCATCTTCGGCAGCTGGCTGGTCTGGAGTGTTCAAGACAGCTTCCTTCACATTTTTGTCACCTTTGTGGGGACAGCTGGGCTCTGCTAGTGGTTGGCCAGAGTACCATACTCGGCCACTCCAGCAGGCAGTGGCAGGGAATTTGAACTTCTTCTTTTGGGGGGAAGAGGGGTACAGGGTCTCGCTCTGTTGCCTAGGCTGGTGTGCAATGGCATGGTCATAGCTGACTACAACCTTAAAGGTCTCAAGCAATCCTCCTGCCTCAGCCTCTTGAGTAGCTGGGACTACAGGCGTGAGCCACCATTCCCGGCTAATCTTTTCTTTTTTGTAGATATGGACTCTCACTATGTTGACCAGGCTGGTCTGAACTTCTGACCTCAAGTAATCCCCCTGCCTCAGCCTCCCAAAGTTCTAGGATTACGGAGCACCACTGTGCCCAGCCTGAATTTGAAACTTTTTTTTTTTTTTTTTTTTTTCCTGAGACAGAGTCTTGTTCTGTCACCCAGAGCTGGAGTGCAGTGGTGCAATCTCAGCTCACTGCAACCTCCACCTCCGGGGTTCAAGCAATTCTCCTGCCTCAGCCCCCTGAGTAGCTGGGATTACAGGTGCGCACCACCACATCCAGCTAATTTTTGTATTTTTAGTAGAGACGGCATTTCACCATGTTGGCCAGGCTGGTCTTGAACTCCTGACCTCATGATCCGCCCGCCTCAGCCTCCCAAAGTGCTGGGATTACAGGTGTGAGCCACCGTGCCCAGCCTGATTTTGAACTTTTTACATGGTGATTCAGGCTCCCAGAGAATGCTCCAGGAGACAGGAGGTGGAAGGTGCTATTGAATCCTGTGCTGGAAGCTGGTTTAGCATCACTTCCAACAATTTGTGTCGCTCGAGCAGCCACACAGCCACCCAGATTTAAGGGGTCCCCACCTCCCAATGGGAGAAGTAGCAAAGGATATGTAGCCAACTTTTAAATCTGCAATGAATAGAAGTAGTCCCCTTCCTCCAGCTGATTGCCAGGTGAGTTGGGGTTGGCTTCAACAATGGCATATATAAAACTTAGTGGCTCTGGTGAAGACATCAAGATCTCAAACTTAATCAAATGTCTGCCTGGCTGATGTGAGCAGCCCACAGGCCTTACTGCCAGATTTACCAATGCTGATGCCCATGCTCAAGAGTTCAGCTAGCATCTTGTGAAGGAGGCAGCAAATAGGGCTCTCAATAACACAAACCCATCTGTATTAGGGTACTCCAGGGAAGCAGACCCAATAGGAGAAATCAGGGCCAGGCACGGTGGCTCATGCCTGTAATCCTAGCACTTTGGGAGGCCGAGGTGAGAGGATCGCTTGAGCCCAGGAGTTAGAGACCAGCCTGGGCAACATAGTGAGACCTCATCTGTAAAAAAAGTTTAAAAATTAGTTGGGCATGGTGGTGGGCACCTGTAGTCCTAGCTACTCAGGAGGATGAGGCTGGAGGATTGCTTGAGCCTGGGAAGTCAAGGCTGCAATGAGCTAGGATTGTGCCACTGCACTCCAGCCTAGGCAACAGAGTGAGATCTTGTCTCAAAAAAAAAAAAAAGAAGAGAGAGAGAGAAATCAGTAGATGATATGATAGATAGATAAGTAGATAGATAGATTAGATAGATCGATCTATCGATCGATCAATCAATCGATATATAGATTGATAGATAGAATGAGGAATTGGCTCACATTATTATGGAGGCTCTAAAGTCCCACAGTCTGCCATCAGCGAACTGAGACCCAGGAAAGCCAGTAATATAATTCCAGTCTATGTCCACAATCTTGTGGACCAGAGGAACCAGGGGAGCTAATAGTACAAATCTCAGTCCAAGGAGAGAAGAAGACTGATATTCCAGTTCCAGCGCGCAGGCGGGAAGAAACAGTAGTGAATTTCTCTTTCCTCTTTTCGTTCTGTTCAGGCTCTCAGCAGATTAGATGATGCCCACCACACTGGCGAAGACAATCTACTGAGTCCACAATGCTAATCTCACCTAGAAACACCCTCAGAGACACACCAAGAAATGTTATTTAATCTGGGCACCCTGTAGTGCAACACAATCAAATTGACACATAAAATTAATCATTGAATTTTATACCCTAAAAATCGCAACATCTAATCCATTTCCATTTTTGATGCAGATAAAAAATCCATGAGATCAGTTCAGGAAGCCATAAAAAGGTGATCAAAAAGAAGATGGAGTCAAGGAAGATGTCAAGCAGGAAAGAGCAGAAAGTCCTTTTTTTTTTTTTTTTTTTTTGAAAGACAGAGTCTCATTTGTAGCCCAGGCTGGAATGCTGGAATGCAGTAGTGCGATCTCAGCTCACCTCCACCTCCCAGCCTCCAGGAAGGTGGGATTACAGGCATGTGCCACCACACCCGGCTAATTTTTGTATTTTTAGTAGAGATGGGGTTTCACCATGTTGGTCAGGCTGGTCTCGAACTCCCGACCTCAGGTGATCCATCCGCCTTGGCCTCCCAAAGTGCTGGGATTACAGGCGTGAGCCACTGCATCCAGCTACTTCTATCTTTTAAAAAAATGTTTTTATATAAATAAAACATACATACAGAGAAGTGCATTAATTTTAAATGTACAGCTCAAAGAACTTTCGCAAACAGCATATGCATGCAACCAGTGCCTAGATTAAGGAAAGGACATTCCCAGGATGCCAGGGGCCCCCTCCTGTGCCTTTTAGTTACTACCCTCCCCAAAGGACAACCTCTCTCCTCACTACTACCATTTTGCCTGGACCTGAGCTTTATATAAATGGAATCATACAATGTGCTCTTTCACAGCTGGCTTCTTTCACTCGACTTTATGTCTGCAGATTTGCCTGTTATCACATGCAGTTATAGGAACATTCATTTTCAGTGCTGAGAAATATTCCACTGCATGCATATGCCACAATTTTCCTCCCCTTTCTCCTGCTGAAGGCTATTTGGGTCATTCCCACTTTAGGCAGTGTGGGCTCCAGTGCTTCTCTATTGGGAGCAGCTCTGCTCCTCCTGTCCCTCAATGAGTGCCACTCACTGAGGACACCACGGAGAGTGTGACTGGGCACCACACAGTGCCCCCAACTCAGGGGCACCAGGTCCCCTTTGGCTCAAAGACGAAGCAAGACAGAGCTTTCTGTCTGACCCCACAAACCTGTCTGCCATTTCTGCCACCTCCCCAGGACTCAGCCCAGGGACCCCTTTCTCTAATACCCACAAATGTGCACATTGTTATTATGGCCCCTCTGCCCCACCAGCACAAGGGAACCCCTTTCTGTTGGAAGGTGAGGGGATGGTTGTTCTTAGTGTCCATTTCTCCTAAATACCTGGCCTATGTCATAAATCCTTTCAGTTCCCATGAGGTCTCATGTTTGAAATTTATGAGGCAGAAGATGCTGCTTGGCTCTGCTTTCTGCTGACTGCCCACCCTCCTACCCCAACTGCTAGAAGGGCTGGGGAGTGGGAGGGGAGGAGGGAGAGATACAGATGAAATAAATCAGAAGTTGTTTTTTTTTTTTTTTCTAGAGATGAGGTCTCTCTCTGTCACCCAGGTTGGAGTACAGTGGCAAAATTGCAGCTCACTGCAGCCTGGAACCCCTGGGCTCAAGTGATCCTCCTGCCTCAGCCTCCCAAGTACCTGAGATTACATGTGTGAGCCACCGCACCTGGCCAGAGAATATTTCAAAATGTTAGCCCTCCACATTTACAACGGAAAGGATTTGGACCAACCCACTTCTGCCATCTCTCTTGGGCAATGGACACTGATGGTTAGGGATGCCCTTACTTGTTCCCAGCGGGCTTCTCATACTCTAACAAACACACAGAAAGGCATCCAGCTCCACAGTGTCTCAGTCTGTGTCATTGGTTTGTCTGGGGCTCCAAATGTCCCACTTCTTCTGGGCATCCATTATCTTCCCTGGAATAGAGTGCAAAGGCCCCTCAGCTCAGTGGTCTTCCCTCAGAGCCTGGAAGCCCCTTCATTATGGTGGCTGGATACTTTCTTGAGATATTAACATGTGTTTTTTTGTTCTTCCTGTTTTGTCACTGTTCTACCCCATTCCAGGAAGCGTTTGCACATCCTGGCCCCAGAAGATTTTGCGTAGCCTCACCAAGAGAAGAAGTTGGAAAGAAAAAAAAAGAAGTTGGCAAGGCATCCAGAGGAGACCCCCCCAGCACCTGGGTTCTCTGCCAGGGGAGAGAGGTAAGCACACTGGACTGAAGGAGGCAAAAGCTGCTCAAGGGAGTGGGGGGTGGGGGGAGATTCCCAGATGCTGTGGAAGGGATGTGGTTTGGGGGTCCTTGGAGTAGTGAGGAGAAGCCCTGCTCCCACATAGAACCCCACACACAACAGTGGGGATGGAGGGAGGTCAGGGATTCCAAAGGAAACTAGCTAAGAACCTTGGCCTTACTAACCACAAAGACTCCCATTCATATCAGCTGTGTCTGAAGGTCAGAGGCCCAGACTCTGAATGTTCTAGGCTGGGTCAGACCCCTGGGATGGTCACTGGACCCCATAGGAGAAGAGATAGGGGAGTCCCTAATAAAACTTCAATTACATTTCCTGCCTGCTTGGTCAGTGGATACTAAATGCAGATGACTTAGAAAAAGAAAGAATTGTGAGATGCTGTGGAGTCAACTCAATGTCATCATTAGCGTCTTCCTCTTCAGAGTCCTGTATCCCAGCGACGGAGCTCAAGGTTCAGACTAAAGGCTTCCTACCCCTGGCAAGGAGGTCTTTATAGTGGAGGTGAACGTTTACACACTACACTCTGAGAATTTTTTTTTTAAAGTAGCCTCTATTTTGTATGTCTTCTCATCCTGTTAGAGTAAGTAGCTAGTCAGGGATGAGCAGGGCAGGAGAGGGCGCCCCAGACACACACCCACAGGAATGTCAGGCAAACATCAGGTGAGGGTCAGGCAGTTGTTAACGGGCTCTCTAAAATAATTGGTCACAGCTGGCACCAGAGACAGGCAGTCTCCCAATAGAAACATCTGAAACTGGTGATCAGCAGTTTCCCAATAAGATCCCAGTAAGTGACCAAAGAGGCAAGAATTGAGGTTGCTGCAGACCCCTATGGATTTGCTGCCACTAACGATCCCTACTACTGCTGCTGGGGAGGAGGTTTTAATAGTATCTATTAATTAAAGATATCCCAGTCTCTTTTCTATCCTCCCTCCCCAAATACTGCTCGGTCCACCTCATGAGATTGTCCTGGGCCTTTTGAGACCCAGGCAATGGGAAGAGAAGGCCATGGAAGTGGACTGAGAATGCTGGGTGTCTAGATTAACTATGCTGCCCTCCGGAAGGCACCTCCAGTAGGATGCACAGCTGTGGCTATCAGCAAATTCCCCTTCCTCCTCTTGCAGGTGCCCTAGAGAACATGGATAGGGCTGCAGGTGGTTAATGGTTCAAAGACTACTCAGTGAAGACGCTGCCTGGGGGAACAGAGTGTGGCCACATCTAAGGAAAGAAGGTACAGGTGAACAGGAGAGGAGGTGAAGGAGAAGCGAGCAGGTGGGGGTTGCGGAGGGGCTGAGGAAGGTCAGGCAGAGCCAGGAGACCAATCCAGCTCCTTGGAAGGTAGCTCAGTTGACTCCTTACCATGTGGCATTTGTAAAAGGTGGACAGTAGAGGCCTGGGGCCAGAGAGAGGCTGGACCAGATTCCCACTGTAAAAATCTCCTTGCCAAGGTCCAGGTAGGGTGTCCTTAAGTCTGAATCTTGATCCCCATCGCTGGGATACAGGACTCTGAAAGAGGAAGATGCTAAATGACTGCATTTGGGGAGGGAAAGACACGCTCACTTCTCCCCAGCCCCAAGTTGCCCTGTGTTGCTGCCACACTACGTAACTACAGTCATAAACTATATTTGAAGCATGATGGAACCTGAACCATGGCAGTAGCTTAAGTTGACTACATTAACAGGGAAAGCTGAGTCATGATTCTATACTGAATATAAAAATTAAGTCAGATGTGCTCACTCACATGCACACAAATATTCTGGAAAGCTGAGATCCACAGCCCCAAGATGGGGAAAGGGCTCCCCCTGGTGGGATTGCCAGAGGTTCCCCCATGGAACTGCACGCCCCAGACCAAGCCAAAGCCCCAAGCAAAACAATCTGCTATGTCATGCAGGATTGGAAGACTTTCGTTTGCTTCAGGGCCAATTTATGACTCCCGGTATTCTCTGTCCTGAAATGACACCCAGTTCCAGGAAGAATTGGATTCTAGGACCAACTTGTACAGGCGCCCCAGGAGACAGTCTGGGCATGCAGGTCAGCCGATGTGTGCCGGGGAAGACTGTCCACATTTGCTCCTCAGTCCCACTGGGCCTGATCACAGGCCACCCCCCATAGTAAAGGGGAGCCAGGGCCCCTGGGCAAGGTTAGATGCTGCCTCTCATGCCCCTGAATTAGCCAAGAGGCGCTCCAGCAGGAAGCCTTGTTTGGCTTATATTGCAAAGGAGGCACCACTTACTATGCAGTCCCCTGCCCGGAGCACCTTGCCTGTGCTACTGAGAAATGTCCTGCTGCAGCAGGAGAGGCGGATCGAGCTACAGCCAAGAGTGTGCCCTGCCTCCATCTGTTGACCCAGGTCAGAATGATGTGGAACACTGGACAGTTAACTCACTGGGTTCAAAAAACACAGCAACACAATGCTCTGGGTGCCTCCTGGCTGTGATGTGCACTATTGTTTTCTGGGGAGATCCCATCACATATGAAACTTCAGATGTTCATCCAGTGATCATGTCAAGCTTCCATTGTTTGCTCTCATATGCTCCCTGGAGCTGGATTCCACCCTGGCTCAAGACCTCTGATGAAGTGCTGGCATGGAGCAGAAACTCCCTTAGGCAGAAACCCCCTTTCCCCCTTGCCACCCACCCCCCACCAGCACCCCATCCTAGGGATGCCACCGCAGGTCTCCTCTCATAGCAGCACTACTTCCTCAATTCTCAACTTCAGGTTACTGCTACAGAGTCTCGCACCTGATCCAGCCTTGAGAAAGTGATTAGAGTGTGACCGGAAAAAATTGTTAGTGATCCCCAAATATGTAGTATAAAGCTACAGTAAATGCTTCTAAAAAATAGACACAAGTGAAACAGGCTAGCCCAGGGGCTTTCAATACAGAGCAATGATAGATATAATATTAGAGAAAATTAAAAAGCAATGCTCCACAAAGGGAGAATATCCCCAAAGATATTCCCAGAAACTGAATATAAATGCAAAAGATGAACAGGGCTACAGCTGTGGCCTGTTGGGTTCTGACTCAGGGTACAGTTAAAGGCAGCTGGGAAGTCAAGTCCTGTTGAGTACTGAGTGGTGAGATAGAATTAAATTGCCCACTGAGGTGGGGGACCAGTGTCATGGTCACTGTGAAAATATTAGGGACTCAGATTCCCCTCTTGCCCACACTTCCACCCTCTTCAAGAAGACTGAAATAGCTTGCTACTAACTTCGCCTGGGACTGTGGCCTAGGGAGGCCCGTGGTTACCAAACGGCACCACACCTGGGCTTAACTGAGCCACCCACAGCCATGGGGCTGGATGTGAGTCATTCCCAGGGTTATCCCAGGGCAGGAGCCCCGACTGCCATATAAGACCTAGTCCTGAACACTGGCCCCTGGGAAGGGCAACTGCACAGCCACTAGGCAGGGAGGAGTGAGGAACAAGAGAAGGGAGACAGAGAAAGCCTGGAAATGAACCTGGAAGCTGAAATTCCAAAACACATAAAAACTAACACTGAGAAAGGCAGCCAGCAACATCAACACTTGATGCATGACAGGTGAAGTGAAAAGAATATAATCATTGGAAAGAGTCTTCAGTATCCTCAAGGAGGCAGTTAAACATATAATGTTCACTTAAAAATCAAGCCACTATGAGATTACAACCAGGCAGAAACGTGCTGTCATATAACAATGGAACAGAAAAATATTATGCAATAAATGGTTCAGGAGAAATAATTATTAATATTTGGGAAAATACATATAGTAGATGTAAATCCTCACTTCATCTAACATATCCTGAGCAAATCTAAATATTTTTTAATCTCTGAAAAGGGTAGGATGTTCTAAATTAGCTGAAAGAAGCCAGGTGTGTTGGTGGCGTAATTCCCAGCTACTTGAGAGGCTGAGGCAGGAAGATCGCTTATGCCCAGAAATTCGAGACCCGCCTGAGAAACATAGCAAGACTCCCAGTCTCTTAAAGAAAAATAAAACTAGATTTTAAGATAAATATCATACAAGAAATATGAAAGTAATAAGTAAAACATGGGAAAAAAGTAAAAAAACAAATTAACTGAAACAATAGGCCAACAAAAGAAAGGAATATATGCATAGATTTAACTACAAAAAGTTTTTAAATTTTTTTTTTTTTCTTTTGAGACAAAGTCTCGCTCTGTCACCCAGGCTGGAGTGCAATGGCACAATCTTGGCTCACTGCAAACTCCACCTCCCACATTCAAGCGATTCTCCTGCCTCAGCCTCTCGAGTTCCTGAGTACCTGGAACTACAGGCACAGGCCATCATGTCCAGCTGATTTTTTGTATTTTTAGTAGAGACAGGGTTTCACTATGTTGGCCAGGCTGGTCTTGAACTCCTGACCTCAAGTGATCCACCCTCCTCGGCCTCCCAATGTGCTGGGATTACAGGTGTGAGCCACTGCGCCTGGCTAATTTTTATATTTAATAGAAAAAAATGGAATGCAAATAAATAAGGAAAATGTTGGCAACAGTCTCTGAATCCAGCCTTTCTGGGTATGACTTTGGGCAAGTTACTTGACCTCTCCAGGCTTCTATTTCCTCCGTCATACGAGACTAATTATTGTACCGTGAGGCAGGATTAACTGAATTACTCCATTTAAAGCTCTTAGAACAGTAACCAGCACCTAGAAAATACCCCACAGCTATTTGTATTTTATATTGTACTGTGTGAGAAATTCAGACACAGACAATTTATAACAGAAACACCATAACTAATTAACAATTATCAACGAACAATTCAACTTCATTAATATTGAAAAAAATCTAATTTTTTTTTTGCCTTTCTAGTTGATAGACTGTTAAAATAACAATAGTGTATTCCTGCCCTAACCCTGGGGTCCTGTTCCTAAAAGCCTCCTTGGATGAAAACATTGTGATTAAGAAACTCAGGACTTTATGAAAAGTTAGGGATAGGGAATACTGAAATCTTTAGAAAACCCATGTTTTTTAAAACTTTTGCGTTTTTTATGTTTTAAAACTATTCCCAGCCAGGCACGGTGGCTCACGCCTCTAATCCCAGCACTCTGGGAGGCCAAGGCAGGCAGATCACTTGAGGTCAGGAGTTCGAGACCAGCCTGGCCAACATGGCAAAACCCCGTCTCTACTATAAAATACAAAAATTAGCAAGGCATGGTGGCGGGCGCCTGTAATCGGAGGCTGAGGCAGGAGAATCGCTTGAACCTGGGAGGCAGAGGTTGCAGTGAGCCGAGATGGCGCCATTGCACTCCAGCCTGGGTGACAAAGCGAGACTCCGTCTCAAAAAAAAAAAAGCTATTCCCTATTTTTACTAAAATACACTCATAAAGAGAGTATCAATTTTATAAAACTTAGATTGGTAACTGCTTACTGAACAATTACTTCCATTAATTTTTCCTTACTGGAGCATAGCCTTCTAAAACCTCTCCCCTGCGGTTTCAGTGAGATGTTTGCAAATCAGTTAAGTGGGTCTATAAGGAAGAACTGTGGTATTTGTTTGCATATGGTTCCTCATCCAAACACTGCGAGCCTTTTCAGTTATCAGTGGCTGTATGTAATGGACAATTATAAAACAGAGAAAGAGAAAGTGATCCAAGCGGAACGTGCTATGGAAGGTTGCACCAGGAAGAGATGCTTGTGCACTGTCTGGAATGAGCCAGTGGTCCCAGCCCAGGGATTCTGGTTCACTGGATCTAGGGATGGGCCAGGCACGTGCCGCTTGGAAGGCTCTGCAGGTAGTTCTAATGTGCACCCTGTCATGAACCTGCGGAAGAGGATTGGATCAGGGAAGGGACACTTGATTTCTCAGCTTTAACATAAATGAGGGTTTCCATTTTCTGGGTTTTAATCTTCTCCTTTCACTGTAAAATGGAAGAGTTGGACTAAAGTGGAATCTTCGTTATATGACGAGGCAGCACAATATGCGAGAAAGCACACAGGACTTAGGGTCAGGCCACTGGAGCTGGTGTTCTCTCCAGAGTCATTCTTCCTCTCCTTCACACTTACATCCACCCTTCCTACCCTAAAATCCATCTCCCATCTGTCCCCACTCAGTCCCTTAACCACTGCCTTTTTTTTTTTTTTTTTTTCGAGATGGAGTCTCGCACTGTCACCCAGCCTGGAGTGCAATGGTGCCATCTTGGCTCACTGCAACCTCCGCTTCCCGGGTTCAAGTGATTCTCCTGCCTCAGCCTCCCAAGTAGTTGGGATTACAGGCATCCACCACCACGCCCGGCTAATTTGTCTTTTTTTTTTTTTTAAATCAAGCAATCCCCTGAAACTGAATAGGTTCAGAGAGACTCCTGCCACTAATTCAGATGTTCATCACCTCTCACTGGAGCAATTTCCATAGCTTCCCAACTACTTTTCCCGACACCAGTTTTTGTGTTTTTTTTTCTTTTTTGAGACAGGATCTTGCTCTGCTGCCCAGGCTGGTATGCAGTGGCGTGATTATGGGTCACTGCAGCTTCCGTCTCCTGGGCTTGAGTGATCCTCCCACCTCAACCTCCTGAGTAGC
This sequence comes from Homo sapiens, assembly GCF_000001405.40. Classification (NCBI taxonomy): domain Eukaryota; kingdom Metazoa; phylum Chordata; class Mammalia; order Primates; family Hominidae; genus Homo; species Homo sapiens. The sequence goes on along the minus strand of NT_167246.2, from coordinate 2,134,212 downwards.
TGGGACTACAGGCATGCACCACCATGTCTGGCTAATTGTTTAAAACTTTTGCAGAGATGAGGTCTCACTATGTTGCCTAGGCTGGTCTCAAACTCCTGGCTCAAGCAATTCTCGCATGTTGGCCTCCCAAAGTGCTGGGATAACAGATGTGAGCCACCACACCCAATCCCTGATACCAGTTTAGATCCTCTCTAATCCCCCTTTGCACCGCCTTCTGGTATGCATCTTCCACTGCTGCTGAAACCTCTGGCTGATCACAGGAGGGTACATTTTCCCCACCTCATATGCCAGTCATTTTATTAGATCATCAAAATCCTGGCAGTCACCAGTGAGCGATTTACATTTTTGCAACGTGGTTCCCATTATTCTACTGTCTCTTTCTTTCTTTAGTAAACCCTCAATGTTTCTTGTATAAGAAATGGGCTGGGATGGCTGGGCGGGGTGGCTCACACCACTGCACTCCAGCCTGGGCAAGAGAGCAAGACTCCATCTCCAAAAAAAAAGAAGGAGAAGGAGGAGAAGAAGAAGAAGGGGAAGAGGAAGAAGAAGAAGAAGGAGAAGGAGAAGTGAAAGAAGAAGAAGAAGAAATGGGCTGGGATGTTATCAAGAAGCTTTGTCATTTTGGTTTATTCTTTTTTTTTTTTGAGATGGAGTCTTACTCTGTCACTCAGGCTGGAGTGCAGTGGTGCCATCTCGGCTCGCTGCAACCTCTGCCTCCCGAGTTCAAGCGATTCTCCTGCCTCAGCCTCCCAAGTAGCTGGGATTACAGGCACCCGCCACCATGCCCAGCTAATTTTTGTATTTTTAGTAGAGACGGGGTTTCACCATGTTGACCAGGCTGGTCTTGAACTCCTGACCTCATGAACCGCCTGCCTTGGCCTCTCAAAGTGCTGTGATTACAGGCGTGAACCACTGCACCCGGCCCATTTTGGTTTATTCTTTGCAGTCAATAAACTTTTAAAGGACTTCTGCCTTCACCAGGAGCTGCATCCCACTTCACACATCTAGGCACTGAGTGTTCCCTTGGGCCACAATCAAAGAGCCTCTCATGGCATTCCCATCTTGCCCCTGTGGGACTAAAAACCAAGATTAGAAAGCTCTTTGAAAGTTGGAACTCTGCCTTATTTACTCTTTCTTCCCAGCCCCTATATGGTGCCTGGAATGCTTGTTGAATAAACAAATCTATGCACCTAGAACAAATATTAGAAATAGACCTTTAAAATCTCCCAGAGTCAAAAATATGTAGAAGCACAAAACAAGCAATGAATGTTTTTACTTTCTCAGTTCCCTTCTTGTCATAACCCAAACCCCACAAGTTCCAAATCATATTCAAAAGTAACCGAAAGGGACAAGCTAATCCTTAGGGACCAATGCCACTCATCCTCAGATTCCACAGGACAGTCAGCACTTCTCCTGACAAAATATGATGGTATTTTAGCTCAACAATGCTAATATTAGCTACAATCCCTCATCACCCTCTTCATCCACTCCGAGATTCAAGGGCTCAACAGTAAGGAGTTTACCTCAAAGGAAGGTGTGTGCTAGAAGCAGGTAGAGACACGCTCATTTCTAACTCTTAGAACAGACAATTCTAAATGCCAGTTGACGATTTCAGTGTGGTTTTCTGGCCATCAGGTACAGACAAATTCCTTTTTGAACCTTAAAATTCCAAAGATGGGTCTCCCCTGCCTGTGTATAAAAAGCCAGCTAGGAGTAAGAATTAGAAATGAGCTTTCTCAGGGGCATTTTCACCATTAATTATCTAGAGTTTTTTTTTTTGTTTTTTCAGAGTAGTAGCCATTCTCTTTGTTTATCTTAATGAGCCCAGTTATGCCATCTGGTGGCCAAAATAAATTGAAAACATGCAACTATGCTGTCAGAAAGTGTGAACGTGTCCTTTTTAGAGTTATTCCCTTTCACCCCTTAGTTTTCTCCCCATTTTCCGTGAGCATCTATCACTCACTACATAAGGAGTACCAGGGCATTGATCTTGATGGTGCCTGTTTCCCTGCATGGAAAGGTAAGAAAGTTTGGTCTTGGTACAAGTGAAACTGGTTAAGATCAAAAGAAAAAGAAGGACAAGTTAGGGACAGGACCCTTGCCCATGTCCAAAGGAACAGAATAATGTTTCCAGAAGAAAGAGCAAGAGCAGAAGCCAGTGCCCCCAGCTTATCAGTAAGCAGCATGGAATTTGACTAGGAAACAGCAGAACGGCCACTGCTAAGTGGGAATCACCATAACACCTGAAAAAAATAATAATAACAGCAAGAGTAGCTGCTCCAAATGTGTTCAAACCTCCTGGTCTGAATGGATTACATTCCTAAGTACCAAAATAAAAATTAACTGAGAGTATCTCCAAGTCACTATCAACGATCTCTGAGAAATCACAAAGAGGCAGAAAGGTATTAGAAGTTGGAGATTGTGTGGCTCTGATTCCCAAAGATGGAAAAAAAGATGAATGTTGAAAAGCACAGATCAGGCCAGGTGTGGGGGCTCACGCCTGTAATCCTAGCACTTTGGGAGGCTGAGGCAGGTGGATTACTTGAGTTCAGGAGTTTGAGATGAGCCTGGGCAAAACCCCATCTCTACAAAAAATACAAAAATTAGCTGGGCACGGTGGCTCACGCCTGTAATCCCAACACTTTGGGAGGCCGCGGCAGGCATATCACCTGAGGTCAGCAGTTCGAGACCAGCCTGACCAACATGGAGAAACCCTGTCTCTACTAAAAATACAAAATTAGCCAGGTGTGGTGGCGCATGCCTGTAATCCCAGCTACTCGGGAGGCTGAGGCAGGAGAATTGCTTGAACCTGGATGGTGGAGTCTGCAGTGAGCCGAGATCGTGCCATCACACTCCAGCCTGGGCAACAAGAGCAAAAACTCCATCTCAAGAAAAAAAAAAAAATTAGCCAGGTGTGGTGGTGCACACCTGTAGTCCCAGCTACTTGGGGGACTGAGGCAGGAGGATCACTTGAGCCCAGGAAGTCAAGGCTTGCAGTGAGCCAAGATCAGGCCACTGTACTCCAGCCTGGGTGACAAAGCGAGACTCTGTCTCAAAAATAAAAAAGAAAAGAAAACTACAGATAAGTGGCCTTGGCAATGACTGTAGGCAAAAACCCTCAAATGAGATACAGAAAGATGTTTTGTAAAGTGTTTCGTGAGCCCCGAGAAGAGCTGAGTATAGTCACCCCTAAGCTCAAGTGATCCTTTCACCTTAGCCTCCCAATAGCTAGGACTATAGGCGTGTCACCATTCCCTACTAATTTTTTAACACCTCCTTCCCGTCCCTCGACTCCTGCTCTCAAACTCTTCAGAAGACTTGTTCCCATGATTCTGTTGGAGACCATGTTCTCTGGAAACAGATACTGAGATAAAGTTGGGATGCAAGATGTTAATTAGGTATTAACACCTGTGAATAAGGGCAAGGAAGCAGGAGTGGGCAGAGGGAGAAGTTAAACTGAGCTGCAGGCCCAACCACACCTCTCATAACTCTGCAGAGAGCTTGGGGCAGTATTGTCTATCAAAGCAAAGCAAGTTGAACTGAAAGAGCCAGACATTTATATCCAGCCCTGCTTAGTCACCACATGGAGCTGCCAGGAGAAAGGGTGTGACCAGGAAGAGGGACCAGGCAGCTCTTTGCAGCCAGGGGACCCTGAAGGAGCTGATGGCTGGAGGCTGTCTGCTGACTGCTCTCCCATAGCTGGGCAACAAGTCCTTCCTTGGGGGAGATCTGAGCAGCACATCTCCATGTCCACTACGCTCTCCTTACTACCATTCCCCTCTGGCACCACTGAAATCCACCTTCCATCTTCGCTTTTACTCCACTCACTCCATCCCTTTGCTCCACGCCAAATCCAGTGGGCCCTTCTTGGTTCTTACCTTACAGCTGACCTCTCTCTCATTTGTTGAAGTTATCGATTTCTACAGTAACTTCTCCTCTCTCTCCTTGACCTCTCTACCCACACTTTGCCGGCCTGTTCAGGGGTCCTGTCCTCCATGCACTACCCAAGCACTGGGACTCCATTCTGAATCCATCCTCCTCTTCCTCCGTACTCTCCCAGGCGATCCCACCCACTATCAGGGTTTTAATTCCTGTTTATATGGCAGTGACTTTGAAATGTACTCTCCAGCTATCCTCTCTGCTAGGCTTCCGATTCCCATATCTAATTGGCTGCTGGCTATCTCCATGCTAAGGGCTGTCAGAACTGTGACATTCCACCTCTCTTCTCCCACTGTGTTCCCACCCTAATTCTTCCAGTGCAAGAAACCAGGGACCCTTTGAACCTGCTCTGTCAAGTTTCTTTTCTCGGCAGCCACCCCCGCTGGGTCCAGTTTGGGCATGGGTATGGAAGCACTCCGAACAGTATCAAGGACTCTGCATATGGAGATTTGCATCACTGACATATAAATAGCTGATGCTGGTGCTGAAACCAAAGAATATTCATCACTGATCACACCCACTACTTGCCCAACCAGATGTGAACCTCTGACTCAGTGGGTCCACAGGAAAGAGTTACTCAGCACTTCCTAGGTATAGGTGATGAGAGATGGTATTCATTTATTTTACAGCTTGAAGAATCTGTAAAGAAAATCTGAAGAAAAGAGTTATCTGGGCTGGGCACGGTGGCTCACGCCTGTAATCCCAGTACTTTGGGAGGCCGAGGCGGGCGGATCACGAGGTCAGGAGATTGAGACCAGCCTGGCCAACAGGGTGAAACCCCGTCTCTATTAAAACACAAAAATTTAGCCGGGCGTGGTGGCGCATGTCTGTAGTCCCAGCTACTCGGGAGGCTGAGGCAGGAGAATCGCTTGAACCCGGGAGACGGAGGTTGCAGTGAGCCAAGATTGCGCCACTGCACTCCGGCCTAGCGACAGAGCGAGACTCCATCTCAAAACAACAACAACAAAAAAAGAGTTCTCTGAGCAGGTAGCTTTTAGCCACACCTTTTATTTCCAGGCCTATACCTGTGTGGCAAAGGCTTAAATAGGAGGTATTTCTGAAGGAAAATTAACTCCAGTTTATTTAAATATACCATGCTTCGTGTATATATGTCCTCTCCTTCCAAACCGGAATTTCCAGTTAAATTCAAGGAATAATTATCAAGTAAATACAACATGACAAGAGCAAGGCTAAGTACAGGACAGTTCCTGCCTTAAGGAATCTAAGGTGAAAGGATAAGTCTAATGGAAGCGCATTCCAGTTTGCTGATGAGCACAAAAGCCATAGCAGCTAAGTGCCATGGGTTCCAGAGAAGGAAAGTGTCTCCGTGCAGGCTGGCTTCATAAAGGCTTCTGAGATAGGCCTAAAGGATAGATCAGATTTCAGGAAGTAAGCACAAGACAGGAATAAGCAAGAAATAATGATGACACACAAGGAATGGAGAGGAAAGAATGCCATCAGAAGAATATCTTCAGAGAATTGCACAATAAACAAAGAGTAATGGTAAGGAAATTTTCTTATAGCTAAGGCCAAATATTGAGACTACAGAAATACCCTGGGAGGCTAGAGAGAGGCAACGTCATGGGGGTAAGATTGGTTTTTTGTTTGATTGGTTTTTTTTGGGGGGGGCGGTTAGGTTTTTTCTTTGGAGAAGGAGTCTCCCTCTGTCACCCAGGCTGGAGGGTAGTGGCGCAATCTCAGCTCACTGCAACCTCCGCCTCCCAGGTTCAAGCGATTCTCCTGCCTCAGCCTCCCGAGTAGCTTGGATTACAGGCAACCACCACCTCGGCCGAATGATTTTTGTATTTTTAGTAGAGACAGGGTTTCACCATGTTGGCCAGTCTGGTCTTGAACTCCTGACCTCAGGTGATCCATTCACCTTGGCCTCCCAAAGTGCTGGGATTATAGGTATGAGCCACATACCCAGCCAGATTGTTAAAATAATATTATTACAAGGAGGTGGGTAGAAAAGGCCAAAATCACTGCCCCATTAACTTTTCCTAGGCCCCAGTTCAGACCCAAACTCTTTTTAGACTTCCCTTTTCTACCATCATGGGCAGCACGGGTGTTGTGGCTCCGAGACCCCTCTTCTATCCAGCTCCCTGAAAAGAACAATGCCCACTAAAGGCTTGCTGGGAGTTGATCCATCACTTCTGGTTTGGTAGAATGTTTCCCTAAGGATCTCTTGAGCCCAGGAATTCAAGACCAGCCTGAGAAACATGGAAAAAACGCATCTCCACAAGAAATGCAAAAATGAATGGGGTGTGGTGGTGTGCGCCTGTAGTCCCTAAGGGCTGTCAGAACTTAGGAGGCTAAGACAGGAGGATTGCTTGAGCCCAGGAAGTCGAGGCTGCAGTGAGCCATGATCACACCACTGTACTCCAGCCTGGGCAACAGAGCAAGACCCTGTCTCAAAGAAAAAGTTTCCCTAATGTTGCCCACATGGGTAACTCCCTCCCACCTATCCCAGTTGTAATTAAGTGAGAACACTCTAGTCCTTGTTCTTAAATGAAGGAAGTGAAAATTTGTGAGGACAAGAATGTTCTGGGCCTGGTGACCTCCCGAAGTGAGCTTGGCAGCAAATCTTCCCATTTGCCTTGGGAAAGCCCTAAAAAAACCAGAGTATGGGATACTGATAGTGGTTATAATTGCTAACGAGGTTAGGGTTTTAACACATGACGCATGCTAAGTAGTCAAAATTCCCCATTTTACAGAAAGAGAAACTGAAGTTCAAAGATGCTATGTGCAATCCCCCTACATGGAGACACAGTCTGAGTCTAGTTTCTCAAGGCCTTGGCAGGGCCTGAGGGAGTGGGTAACATGGGTATGGCTTGTATACATTTATGAATTTTGTATCTGGGAAGCAATATGGAGAAATAGCCTGTAAGGAAGGAAAAGATTAGACACTATTTACTGCAGCTCCAAACAAAACTACACAGAGGCCAGGAGCAGTGGCTGATGCCTGTAATCCCAGCATTTTGGGAGGCCAAGGTGGGTGAATCACCTGAAGTCAGGAGTTTGAGACCAGCCTGGCGAACATGGTGAAACCCTGTCTCCACTAAAAGTACAAAAATTAGCCGGGTGTGGTGGCACACGCCTGTAATCCTACCTACTCAGGAGGCTGAGGCAGGAGAATCACTTGAACCTGGGAGGCAGAGGTTGCAGTGAGCTTGAGAGGTGACAGCCTGCTAGCAGTCCTCACAGCTCTCACTCGCTCTGGGCGCCTCCTCTGCCTGGGCTCCCACTTTGGCGGCATTTGAGGAGCCCTTCAGCCCACCGCTGCACTATGGGAGCCCCTTTCTGGGCTGGCCAAGGCCAGAGCCGGCTCCCTCAGCTTGCAGGGAGGTGTGGAGGGAGAGGCGCGAGCGGAACCGGGGCTGCGTGCAGTGCTTGCGGGCCAGCTGGAGTTCCGGGTGGGCGTGGGCTTGGCGGGCCCCGCACTCGGAGCAGCCGGCCGGCCCTGCCAGCCCCAGGCAGTGAGGGGCTTAGCACCCGGGCCAGCGGCTGCGGAGGGTGTACTAGGTCCCCCAGCAGTGCCGGCCCACCGGCGGTGCGCTCGATTTCTCGCCAGGCCTTAGCTGCCTTCGCACGGGGCAGGGCTCGGGACCTGCAGCCCGCCATGCCTGAGCCTCCCACCCCCTCCGTGGGCTCCTGTGCGGCCCAAGCCTCCCCGACGAGCGCCGCCCCCTGCTCCAGGGCCCCCAGTCCCATCGACCGCCCAAGGGCTAAGGAGTGTGAGCGCATGGCCCAGGACTGGCAGGCAGCTCCACCTGCAGCCCCGGTGCTGGATCCACTGGGTGAAGCCAGCTGGGCTCCTGAGTCTGGTGGGGACGTGGAGAGTCTTTATGTCTAGCTCAGGGATTGTAAATACACCAATCGGCACTCTGTATCTAGCTCAAGGTTTGTAAACACACCAATCAGCACCCTGTGTCTAGCTCAGGGTTTGTGAGTGCCCCAATTGACACTCTACCTAGCTGCTCTAGTGGGCCCTTGGAGAACCTTTATGTCTAGCTCAGGGATTGTAAATACACCAATCGGCACTCTGTATCTAACTCAAGGTTTGTAAACACGCCAATCAGCACCCTGTGTCTAGCTCAGGGTTTGTGAGTGCACCAATCGACACTCTGTATCTAGCTGCTCTGGTGGGGCCTTGGAGAACCTTTACATTTAGCTCAGGGATTGTAAATACACCAATCGGCACTCTGTATCTAACTCAAGGTTTGTAAACACGCCAATCAGCACCCTGTGTCTAGCTCAGGGTTTGTGAGTGCACCAATCGACACTCTGTATCTAGCTGCTCTGGTGGGGCCTTGGAGAACCCGTGTGTCCATACTCTGTATCTAACTAATCTGATGGGGACGTGGAGAACCTTTGTATGTAGCTCAGGGATTGTAAACGCACCAATCAGCACCCTGTCAAAACAGGCCACTCGGCTCTACCAATCAGCAGGATGTGGGTGTGGCCAGATAAGAGAATAAAAGCAGGCTGCCCCAGCCAACAGTGGCAACTTGCTCCGGTCCCCTTCCACAGTGTGTAAGCTTTGTTCTTTTGCTCTTTGCAATAAATCTTGCTACTGCTCAGTCTTTGAGTCTACATTGCTTTTGTGAGCTGTAACACTCACTGCAAAGGTCTGCAGCTTCATTCCTGAAGCCAGTAAGACCACAAACCCACCAGAAGGAAGAAACTCCGAACACATCTGAACATCAGAAAGAACAAACTCCAGACATGCCACCTTAAGAGCTATAACACTCACCGTGAGGGTCCGTGGCTTCATTCTTGAAGTCAGTGAGACCAAGAACCCACCAATTCCGGACACAAGCTAAGATCACACCACACTGCATCCCAGCCTGGCAACAGAGCGAGACTGTCTCAAAAAAAAAAAAAGGCCGGGTGCCGTGGCTCACCTTTGTAATTCCAGCACTTTGAGAGGCTGAGGAGGGTGGATCACCTGAGGTCAGGAGTTCAAGACCAGCCTAGCCAACATTGTGAAACCCCGTCTCCACTAAAAATACAAAAAAATTAGCCAGACGTGGTGGGCGCCTGTAATCTCAGCTACTCAGGAGGCTGAGGCAGGAGAATCGCTTGAACCTGGAGCAGGGCTGGATGGGGGGTAGAGGTTGTAGTGAGCTGAGGTCAGGCCACCACACACAAGCCTGGGCAATAAGAGTGAAATGCCATCTCAATAAATATTGTGTTTGGTTCTTGAGTAACAAAAACTCAATACAATGGCCTAACTTCATAGGTGTTTATTTTTCCCAGTTATGAAGAAGACTTGAGCAGGCAGTCCAGAGCTGATACAGCTGCTCCAATCACCAGAGATGCAATCTCCTGCTAGATGTCTTCACATCTACCTTTCTATGTCACATGTGCAAGATGGTTGCTCTGCCTTCAGACATCACATTTACATTCCAGGCAGAAAGGAGAAGGAAAGAGCAAAAGATGTGTTCCGAACAAATCCATCTTAAAAACAAACAAGGGGAGGGGTAGCAGGAGAAAATTTAAAAAGAAGAAGAAGAAAAACAAAAACAGGAAAGCCGTTGTTTCCCTAAAAGCCCCATCAAGCCGACTTCTACCGGTGACTCATTACCCAGTCATGTGGCCACCCCTGGATTCAAGGCAGTCTGAGGAGGTGAGTGTTTCAAAGAGGCACATGGATGCCACAGACAAAATCAAGTTTCCATGGTTGAAGGAGAAGAGGACGATAGAGTTTGGGGAGGCAGCAGGCTACGTCTGCCACAGAAGATATAAAGATATGGAGCCACACGAGAAGATGGGGGAGGCTGCCAAAAAAGTCCACTGGGTACAGGTGAGGAGCAGGTGACATTGGAGTTGCTCCATCTGAGGAGCCCGCACCTGCAATGGCTTGTGCTCCTGCTCCTGTGGGTATAGGCACAAGGCTGATGCCGAGAGAGTGAGTTGTTTCTGTTGGGGTTCAGAACACAATACCCCAAAGTATGGCGATGAGTACTTAACTAAAGGACATTGGAAGGCCTCAGAAGCAGCCTCAGATCCAAGGTCCCTCTGACCTGCTCCTGCCCTCCTGTCTCTCTCGTCCCTCGTTCTCCCCTGAAGTGAGTCATAGAAACCAGAATCCTCTTCCCCACGGTAGGTCCTAGAAACTAGAACCCTTTTTCCCCGAAGCAAAAGCCATAAAAACTGGAATTATTACTCTAAACTCTCCTTGACTTTTTGTCCAGAAGATGGCCATAAAGAAATTCTCAGCTAGGTGTGGTGGCTCGTATCTGTAATCCCAGCACTTTGAGAGGCCAAGGTGGGAGGATCACTTGAGGCCAGGAGTTTGAGATCGGCCTGGGCAACATAGTAAGACCCCCATCTCTACAAAACTTTTTTTTTTAAACTTACCTAAGCGTGGTGGTACACCTGTAGTCTCAGCTACTTAGGAGGCTGAGGTGGGAGGGACCCTGCTCTGGCTGTGACTGCTTTATCACAGGGAGTGCCTATCTGTGGGCTGCTTTCTACACATTAAAGCATTTTCAGAAAGGGCCAACATCAGCCTTGGAAAAAAGGAGGAAGAGCCACGGAGAGTCTCCCTTTATCTTCCCCTTATGTGATGTGAGAGTGCACATGACTGTGTGCACATACACACACACACACACACCACACACACACACCCCACAGGCACACAGGGTCAAGAACATGCTGGGCAGAGCTTAAGCCACTGAATGTTTCAGTAGGAATCATGATATCTAAAAATAGGACAGCTGATAAGGGGGTTCTTACTACTCACAGTTCCTGGAATTATATGCAATTGCATCTTGGAAACTCAACAAATAAACAGTTAGTATGGAATTAAGGAATTAAGTTTGGTGAAGTTCAAAGAAGCTGATGTTACTCACAAGAGTAAATAGAGAGGAAACCGGGCGTGGTGGCTTCACGCCTGTAATTCTAGCACTTTGGGAGGCCAAGACGAGCAGATCACTTGAGGTAGAGAGTTTGAGACCAGCCTGGCCAACATGATGAAACCCTGTTCTCTACTAAAAATACAAAAATTAGCTGGGTGTGGTGGCAGGCACCTGCAATCCCAGCTACATGGGAGGCTGAGGCAGGAGAATCGCTTGAACCCAGGAGACAGGGGTTGCAGTGAGCCAAGATCACACCACTGCACTCCAGCCTGGGCGACAGAGCAAGACTCCCTCTCAGGAAAGAAAAAAAAAAAAAAAGTAAATAGAGAGGAAAGCACAGGCCAGGGTAAAGAGCTCCATGTAGGGCTGGGCGCGGTGGCTCACGCCTGCGGTCCCAGCACTTTGGGAGGCCGAGGCGGGCGGATCACAAGGTCATGAGATCGAGACCATCCTAGCTAACATGGTGAAACCCCGTCTCTACTAAAAATACAAAAATTAGCCGGGGGTGGTGGGCGCCTGTAGTCCCAGCTACTCGGGAGGCTGAGGCAGGAGAATGGTGTGAATCCAGGAGGTGGAGCTTGCAGTGAGCCGAGATCACACCACTGCACTCCAACTTGGGCAACAGAGTAAGACTCCACCTCAAAAAAAAAAAAAAAAAGAGCTCCATGTATGATTCGTGTATAATGCTGCGGGCATTTGGAGTGCAGCCAACAGCCCCCTTGCAGAGACCCAGTGTTCATTGTCCCTTCCTTCTTCTAGCAGAACCCCAATTTTATTTTGTTTAGCAAAGTTCTATGCTTTAAATTTTTTTTTGCCTCAAACTGCCATGCAGGTAGGAGTGGTGGTGTGGCATAGGGCTGGCCAATGAGATGTTAGCCTAAGTCATGTAAAGGGGACTTTCAGAAAAGTTCTTTTCTAGGACTGACTCAACTGGCATGGGCCCCCTTTGCCTTTTACTCTCCCACTTCCTCCAGCCTGAAACAAAACCATGATGGTCTGAACTCCAGCCATCAACTGGAGAGCACTTAATCACTTTTTCAGTAAATACATGCCAGGCCCTGTTTTCAGTTCTAGGAACTTACCATAAAGAAAACAGATAAAAATCTCTGGCTTCAAGGAGCTTACAGTCTAGTGAGAGGAAACAAATTATAAGCAAACAAATATATAGTATTTCAGAATATGGTAAGTGTTAAGGAAAATAAATTAAGAAATGAGATTCTTATTATCTTTAGGGACACTCTCACTCCATCTCCTTCTGTTGCCCACACTAGAGTGCAGTGGTGCGATCATAGCTCACTGTAACCTCAAACACCTGGGCTCAAGTGATCCTCCTGCCACAGCCTCCTGAGTAGCTGGGACTACAGGTGTATACCACTACATCTGGCTAATTTTTTTTTTATTTTTTATTTTTGTAGAGACGGAGTCTTGCTACATTCCCCAGGCTGGTCTCAAGCTCCTGGCCTCAAGTGATCTTCCTATCCTAACCTCACAAGGGGCTGGGATTATAGGTGTGAGCCACCACACCACCCAGAAATGAGATTCTTTTTATTTTTGTTTGTTTGTTTGTTTGTTTTGAGACAGAGTCTCACTCTGTCACCCAGGCTGGAGTGCAGGGGCACATTCTCGGCTCACTGCAGCCTCCACCTCCAGGTTCAAGTGATTTTCGTGCCTCAGCCTCCCAAGTAGCTGGAGTTACAGGAATATGCCACTACACCCAGCTATTTTTTTTTTTTTTTTTTTTTTTAGTAGAGACAGGATTTCACTATGTTGGCCGGGCTAGTCTCAAACTCCTGACCTCAAGTGATCTGCCAGCCTTGGCTTCCCAAAGTGTAGGGATTATAGGCGTGAGCCACTGCACCCCGCCCAGAAATGAGATTCCTGATGCTCGATCAAGTCAGGGTGGTGGCTCAGAAGGCTGGATGGACCTGGGGGTTGTAAAGGTAGCCAGGGTTTGTTTTAATCAGGTGTGGCAAGACGTGCAGACACAGGAATCACTTTCATGGAGGAAGACATTTACTCACAGTTCCCTAGAAACATGCATGAGGCATGGCATGGCGTGCAGGGGTGCCCCATGGGGAAGCACCTGAGTCAGTCAGGAGGCAGTGGGAGTGAAAGGAAAATGTGGGCAAGAGCCTTTATTGTGGTTTCACAGGCAGGAGTGTGCAGGCAGGTAAGCAAGTTCAGGCTCGGCTAGTTTGAATAATTTCAGCAGCCTCTGGGGCATAGGGGCTGTCCCTAGCTCTCTAGTACTGGTCCTGGGCTGACTAGGGGAATTGCAGCTAGGAGTGGCAGAGCCTGATGAAGGTGGTGGTTGGGAGGATGGGGTCTAGCTTGGTTGATCTACATATGACAGGCGAGTTCTTTGCTTCTAGGAATTAGCTCAACCTGGGAGAGGCAGTCACTCCAGGGTCAGCAAGACCCCACGATGTGGAAGTATCAGAATATAGAAACTAGAAAACATGGTTAATTACACTAGGTTCTTGCCAATATTGCTATGCTATTAGGATCCCTGCTCTCACCTCTAGATTTATTCTAAATGCAGAAAAATTAAACTCTCAATTTTTTATGCCACTGTTTTTCAGGTTTCTATTACTGGTTAGGTGAATGCCAGGCCTGTACTGATAATGATCCTAAAGAAGACTCCTCTTTCATACGGCCTAGTAACCGATTCTCAGATCTTATCCATATAAATAGGCTGTTAGTCAAACAAGAAAAATAGCAAGATAAGTAACAGATCCTTCACAGAGTAACTACTCTCATCTATGTGCGTGCACACACACACAAACACACACACTAGTGCGAAAATAAAATGATTTTTCACAGACTTTTTCTGAAGATTGAAGATTTCAAAACAGTCTGAAAAAAAGTTTCAAAAGTGGTCCTGAAGTTAGCTTTACATCAATGCATTAAATATTAACTTTTTTTTTTTTTTGAGATGGAGTCTCACTCCGTCACCCAGGCTGGAGTGCAGTGATGCCATCTCGGCTCACTGCAACTCCTGTCTCCCGGGTTCAAGTGATTCTGCTGCCTCAGCCTCCCAAGTAGCTAGGATTACAGGCATGCACCACCATGCCTGGCTAATATTTTTGTATTTTTAGTAGAGATGGTGTTTCACCATGTTGGCCAGGCTGGTCTCGAACTCCTGACCTCAAGTGATCCACCCGCTTTGGCCTCCCAAAGTGCTGGGATTACAGGCGTGAGCCACTGTGCCCGGCCTAAATATTAACCTTATATGAACAAAAAGAGAAACGAGGATATATGGAGAGAGTAAAAGAGAAGTGAGGCACGGTGAGAAATTGGGAAGGGAGACCTGAGCCTTTGTCTATAGCGAAGGTTGAAAATTCAGCCACCTGCAGGGGCAAAGCAGAAAATGCAAATGAGGTAGCAGGCTTGGGATAAGAAAGACCTGGCTCTTGTTCTCTGTTTTCCCTTTTTTCAGTAAAGATATAGGTAGAAACTAAAATTTGTCTGCTAGAGGAAAAAATAACTACTCAAGCTAAATAATAAATGCCAATTGGCACTTTCCCTCAGTGTTAAGGAGGCCAGGAGGCATGGAGTGGGCACTGGTGAACAGAGTGGGGCAGCCACCGCCCAGCTCCATCAACTGTTACTAGCAATCGGTGTAGGTCGCATGATGCCAGATAGCCTGATTTTTTTTTAAGCTGTAAAACTGGGATTTCTGTTTAGAGACCGGGTCTCACCCCAGTCTGGAGTGCAATGGCACTATCATAAAACACTGCAGCCTGGAACTCCTGGGCTGAAACAATCCTCCCTCCTCAGCCTCTCAAATTAAATTGTAGGTGTGAACCACCACACCCAGCTGATTTTTATTATTTTTTGTAAAGACAGGGTCTCACTGTGTTGCCCATGTTGCCCAGGATAAAATCTGGATTTTTATGTGAAATCTCCAATTCTTAATTGTTGAGATTGAAGACTTTTTTTCTTCTTTTTTTTTGGAGCCAGGGTCTTGCTCTGTCACCCAAGCTGGAGTGCAGTAGCACAATCAAAGTTTTCTACAGCCTTGACCTCCTGGGCTCAAGCAGTCCTCCCAGCTCAGCCTCCCCAGAAGCTGACTACAGACTACAGGTGTGTAGCATCATGCCTGGCTAATTTTTGTATTTTTTATAAAGACGGGGTCCTACTGTGTTGCCCAGGCTGGTCCCAAACTCCTGGGCTCAAGCAATCCTCCCAACTCGGCCTCCCAAAGTGCTGGAGTTACACGCATGAGCCACTGCTCCCAGTTCCTGAAGACAATATTTTGGATAAACGTTCTCTTAGCAAATTATATGTTTCTGCAGAGCAGATACTCAGGCAGTAGGCCATCGGTTTGCACTTCTATTATGCTGAACAAATGAGATAGGAAGCTGTTGCAAAGAAAGGAAGGGGAAAAGCAAGGGGCTAGCTGACAGTAAGAAAGACTGGGAGACGGACAAGGAGAGACCCAAGGTGATGGGATGAAAAAAGAAGAAAAAAAAATATTGATGAATGCGATTGAGAAGAGATTGGGGGCCGGATGCAGTGGCTCACGCCTATAATCCCAGCAGGCGTGAGGCCAAGGCAGGCGGATCACCTGGGGTCAGGAATTCGAGACCAGCCTGGCCAACATGGCAAAACCCCATCTCTACTAAAAATAGAAAAAAAAAGCCAGGCATGGTGGCATGTGCCTGTAGTCCCAGCTACTTGGGAGGCTGAGGCACGAGAATCACTTGAACCCGGACGGCGGCGGAGGTTGCAGTGAGCGGAGATTACGCCACTGCACTCCAGCCTGGGTGATAGAGTGAGACTCCATCTCAATTAAAAAAAGAAGAAGAGATTGAGAAAGAATGAAGAAGAGAGGAAGAAAACACTGGGGCTCAGAAAACAATACCCCAAAGTGTGGCACTTTGGCATGCTGAATACTTTGAACTAAAGGACATTGGGAAGACTCAGAAGCAGCCTCGAAACCAAGATCCCTCTGACCTTCTGCCCCTCCTGTCTCTCGCCCCTCATTCTCTCCTGAAGTGAGCCACAGAAGCCAGAATTAGTCCTCCCTAAGGTCATAGAAACCAGAACCCCTGTTCCCCAAAGCCAGCCATAAAAACTAGAATTATTTCTTCTACTGCTTCCTAAGACATGACCATAAATAAATAGTCTGACCTACGCTTGTCTAATGGTGGGCCATAATGAGAGGTGACAGCGTGCTGGCAGTCCTCAGAGCCCTCGCTTGCTCTTGCCACCTCCTCTACCTGGGCTCCCACTTTGGCGGCATTTGACGAGCCCTTCAGCCCACCACTGCACTGTGGGAACCCCTTTCTGGGCTGGCCAAGGCTGGAGCCCACTCCCTCAGCTTGCAGGGAGGTGTGGAGGGAGAGGTGCGAGCGGGAACCGGGGCTGCGAGCGGCGCTTGGGCGCCAGCGGGAGTTCCGGGTGGGCGTGGGCTTGGAGGGCCCCGCACTCAGAGCAGCCGGCCAGCCCTGCCGGCCCCGGGCAATGAGGGACTTAGCACCCGGGCCAGTGGCTGCAGAGGGTGTACTGGGTCGCCCAGCAGTGCCAGCCCACCGGCGGTGCGCTCGATTTCTCACCGAGCCTTAGCTGCCTTCCCGCGGGGCAGGGCTCGGGACCTGCAGCCCGCCATGCCTGAGCCTCCCACCCACTCAAAGGGCTCCTGTGCGGCCCGAGCCTCCCCGACGAGCACCACCCCCTGCTCCACGACGCCCAGTCCCATCGACCACCCAAGGGCTGAGGAGTGCAAGCACACGGCACAGGACTGGCAGGCAGCTCCACCTGCAGCCCCAGTGTGGGGTCCACTAGGTGAAGCCAGCTGGGCTCCTGAGTCTGGTGAGGATGTGGAGAGTCTTTATGTCTAGCTCAGGGATTGTAAATACACCAATCAGCACCCTGTGTTTAGCTCAAGGCTTGTGAGTGCACCAGTCCACACTCTGTATCTAGTTGCTCTGGTGGAGCCTTGGAGAACCTGTGTGTCCAAACTCTGTATCTAACTAATCTGATGGGGACGTGGAGAACCTTTGTATCTAGCGCAAGGATTGTAAACGCACCAATCAGCACCCTGACAAAACAGGCCACTCGGCTCTACCAATCAGCAGGATGTGGGTGGGGCCAGATAAGAGAATAAAAGCAGGCTGCCCGAACCAGCATTGGCAACCCGCTTGGGTCCCTTTCCAGACTGTGGAAGGTTTGTTCTTTTGCTCTTTGCAATAAGTCTTGCTGCTGTTCACTTTTTTGGGTCCATGCTGCTTTTATAAGTTGTAACACTTACTGCGAAGATCTGCAGCTTCACTCCTGAGCCAGCAAGACCATGAACCTACCAGAAGGAAGAAACTCCGAACACATCTGAACATCAGAAAGGACAGACTCCAGAAGCGCCACCTTAAGGGCTATAACACTCACCGCGAGGGTCTGTGGCTTCGTTCTTGAAGTCAGTGAAACCAAGAACCCACCATTTCTGGACACAATAAGATCCTCATTCCAGAGGGGTCCAGTCCCATACCTGGCTGGCAGAAATGCTACAACATAGAGGCCGAGAAGAATCCGGACAGACAGGCATTGCTGGATTCCTCCAGGAGATCATACCCTTTCTGTCCCATAATGCTTCCACATGACCATCCATTCTTCATCAACTCTAAGCATAAAAAATGAGAATTTTCCCTGTGGGTCTTAATTCTTTTCTTTTTCCTTTTTTTTTTTTTTTTTTTTTGAGACGGAGTCTTGCTCTGTCGCCCAGGCTGCAGTGTGGCAGTGTGATCTCAGCTCACTGCAACCTCTGCCTCCTGTGTTCAAGCAATTCTCCTGCCTCAGCCTCATGAGTAGCTGGGACTACAGGTGCATGCCACCACACCCAGCTAAATTTTTTTTTTTTTTAGTAGAGACAGGATCTTACCATATTGGACAGGCTGGTCTTGAACTCCTGACCTCAAGTGATCTGCCCACCTCGGCCTCCCAAACTGCTGGGATTACAGGCATGAGCCGCCACATCCGGCCCCTGTGGGTCTTCATTCTAAAGGCCACCGTGACACATAAAACTTGGATTCAATAAATGTTTTTCTCTCATTAACCTGTCTTTTGTTAGAGGACCGTGGCCGAGACTTTCATGATGGAGAGAAAAGGTATCACAGAAAAGGTATGCCCTTTTCTGCTTCTAAAAGGGCAAGGAAGATGGAGAAGAAAGTGAGAAAAAGGAGATTTGAAGAGAGAGGAGGAAGTGGGCTGCTATAGGTAGAGGGTGGAGATTTAAAGTCATTCTACAGGCTCGGCACAGTGGCTCACGCCTGTAATCCCAACACTTTGGGAGGCCAAGGTGAGTGAATCGCTTGAGGTCAGGAGTTCAAAACCAGGCTGGCCAACATGGTGAAACCCTGTCTCTACAAAAATACAAAAAATTAGACGGGCGTGGTGGCAGGAGCTTATAATCCCAGCTACTTGGGAGATTGAGGCAGGAGAATCTCTTGAACCCAAGAGGTGGAGGTTGCAGTGAACCAAGATCACACCACTGCACTCCAGCCTGGGCAACAGAGTGAGACTGTGTCAAAAAAAAAGTCATTCAACAGAAAGAGACAGGAATATGCAGGCACTGTGGAGAGAACAGTGGCTCTATATGGTGAAAGGGAAGCCCACAAGTTTTCCAGCCTTTGGGATTCTGTGCTATTATAATTTATATATAGGTTTTAGTCCATGGTTCCTGGCTTATAATTCCCATTGCCCTTGTTACCATCTGTTGTTGTAATGTTGGGTGCTTTAAGCCTCAGAAGCAGGTCTCAATAAACGGAATCTCTCTGACCTTCTCCTGCCCTCATTTCATCTGCTCCTTTATCTCTCCAAGGCAGGAATCTTTGCCCATCTTTCTGTCTTTGACCTACCTTGTCTGACTATAGGTCATAAGACTCCCATTTCAGAAAGGATGCCCCATATCCTGGAGGAAGAAAGGCTGCACAGAGAGGCCAAGAAGAATCTGGACAGGACTCACTGGGTTTCCCCAGTCTGTCTGTTAGTATTAGATCATATCCTTTTTGTTCAATCACATTTTGACATGGTTGTCCATGCTTCAGTCATGCCTGTCCAGTGAAGTCTCCATAAATGCCCAAGAGGACGGGGTTCAGAGAGCTTCTGGAGAGCTGAACACATGGAGGTTCCTGGAAGGTGTTGCACACAGGGAGGACTCGGAAGCTCTGTGCCCCTTCTCCCTGTGCATCTCTTCATCTCTAGCCTTTGTAATAAACCAGTAAATGCAAGTGTTCATTTAACTGAACCCAAAGAGGGGGTTGTGGGAATCCCAACTTGAAGCTGGTGGGTCAGAAGTTCCCAAGGCCAAACCTGTGACCAGTGTGGGTCGGGGGGCAGTCTTGGGGACTGAGCCCTCAACCTGTGGGATCTGATGCTACCTCTAGGTAGACAGTGTCAGAATTGGATTAGAAGACACCCAACTGGTGTCTGCTGCAGATTTAATTGCTTGCTTGATGTGTAGAGACAAAACTCCTCACATTTGGTCACAGAAGCCTTCTGTGTTAATGATTGTTGTGAGTGAGAGAGTAGGAAAAAGCACATTGAGTGTTGTTTTTCCCACACACAGAGCATCACTTTTTCTTTGATAGTTAAATAACTCAGGCCTGCACTTTTCTACAACTACAGGAAGTCCAGGGCCCTGGCTCAGGAAGTGGCGCCATTTCCCTGGTCAATATCACCTCTTGCTTCTCCTTTCTTTCAACACCTCCCTGTGGGGGTCCAGCTCCTTCAGCCCTTCCCTTCCTTTACCAGCTGACACTGGACTAGGGGTCAACACAGCTTCAGTGGAAGCTTGAACCATGGGTAGGCCAGCCCAGAATTCTACAGGGGACAAGTAGAATTCCATACCAGAGATGACATTCCTAAAATAATCTCCATGCAAGGTGCCCTATTCTGGAAATTTCTCACCACCTCTCTGCTCAAGGAAGACATCCTTTCTCTTCACTGTGCTCAGCAATGGGGCATCTCTTTGATCAGACTCTGCCTGAATTTCATGTAATCAAAGGACACATTAAAATGTTTTCTTTCACACAAGAACCCCAGAGGGGCTGGGAACTAGAAGAGCTGTATTCTTTTATTTATTTATTTATTTATTTATTTTGAGATAGAATCTTGCTCTGTTGCCCAGGCTGGAGTGCAGTGGCGTGATCTCAGCTCACTGCAACCTCCACCTTCCAGGTTCAAGCAATTCTCCTGCCTCAGCCTCCTGAGTAGCTGGGATTACAGGCACCTGCCACCAGGCCTGGCTAATTTTTTTTATATTTTTAATACAGACAGGGTTTCACCATGTTGACCAGGCTGGTCTCGAACTCCTGACCTCAAGTGATCCGCCCACCTCGGCCTCCCAAAGTGCAGGGATTACAGGCATGAGCCACTGCACCCAGCCAAATTTCTGTATTTTCTTTTTTAATTTATTATTATTATTATTTTGTTTTGAGATGGAGTCTTGCTCTGTTGCCAGGCTAGAGTGCAGTGGCATGATCTCGGCTTACTGCAACCTCCGCCTCCCGGGTTCAAGCGATTCTCCTGCATCAGCCTCCTGAGTAGCTGGGACTACAGGCACGCGCTGCCATGCCCAGCTAATTTTTGTATTTTTAGTAGAGACAGGGTTTCACCATGTTGGCCAGGATAGTCTCGATCTCTTGACCTCGTGATCTGTCCACCCCGGCCTCCCAAAGTGCTAGGATTACAGGTGTTAGCCACAGCGCCCGGCTTTTATTTTTATCTTTATTTTTGAGGCAGAGTTTTGCTCTTGTCACCCAGGCTGAAGTGCAATGGCACAACCTCAGCTCACTGCAACCTCCGCCTCCTGGGTTCAAGCAATTCTCCTGCCTCAGCCTCCTCAGTAGCTGGGTCTATAGGCATGCGCCACTACGCCCGGATAATTTTTTATTTTTATTTTTAGTAGAGACGAGGTTTCACCATTTTGACCAGGCTAGTCCCGAACTCCTGACCTCAGGTGATCCACCCTCCTCAGCCTCCCAAAGTACTGGAATTACAGGCGTGAGCAACCACACCCGGCCTAGAGCTGTATTCTTGATGATGGAGAGCAGTTTCCTCCTCTCTGCCAGGCCACACTGTGTGTGGCCATCGCATCCTGAATGGTGCTCTAGTTCTTGAGACCTACAGAAGCCATTTCCTATTTTCCTTACTCACCTGTGTATCCTTAGGGAATGTCCATCCCCTGAGGTAACTTGGGTGTTTCTCTGTCTTTTGCAACCTGTGTGAGCTGAATACCTTCACATTGGCTTGTCTGTAGAAGGCAGTCAGGTTTTTGTTTTGCTTTGCTTTCTAGTTGGATCAGATAAGAGTTAACAGAAAATGACCACAGTCTAAGTCACTTGCTCAGTGATCAAGTTGTGAAAAAACTGAAATCACTTTATATATGTGTGTGTGTATATATATATGTGTGTGTATACATGTGTATATATATGTGTGTGTATATATATGTGTGTGTGTGTTTATATATATATATATATATATTTTTTTTTTTTTTTTTTTTTTTTTTTTGAGACAGTCTTACTCTGCCGCCTAGGCTGGAGTGCAGTGGCGCAATCTTGGCTCACTGCAACCTTCACCTGCTGGGTTCAAGCGATTCTTCTGCCTCAGCCCTCCCGAGTAGCTGGGATTACAGGTGCCTGCCACCACACCTGCTAATTTTTGTATTTTCAGTAGAGACAGGGTTTTACCATATTGGCCAGGCAAGTCTGTAACTCCTGGCCTCAGGTGATCCGTCCGGCAGCTTCCCAAAGTGCTGGGATTACAGGCATGAGCCATCACACCCATCCTGAAATCACTTTTGACCTGGAAGTCACCCTTTTTCTGTGCTTCTGAACACATGGCAACCTTCTACCCACCTGCCCAGCATCCTCATGTCCCACTGGTTTTTCCCAAATCTGTTCTCTTCCCCTGCGCCTCCTCCACTCCTGCCGCTTTATCTCCAGCACACGTTCCTCTTCCTCCTCCTTTTTCATCTAATTATCCAACAGATACGTGATGAGAGCCCACGTGTGCCAAGCACTGTGCTGGCAACAGAACAGACGGAGGGCAAGACGGAGCCCCTCTCCAGCCACGGGTCCCTACAGCCTAGCATGATGCCTGCAGTCACAGCCAAGCACACTGCTCACATCTGAGCTCAGCAGATCTGGGCAGTGAAGTGGAGTAAAGTTAGTCTTTAGATGGAAAAGCAAACAGAAATACAGACTGTTATGAGCCTTTTTTGCGGAGGCCACAAACTTAGACGTTTTGAGCCTGGAATCTGATGTCACACAGACCCAAATCCCACTACTTACCAATTGTGTGAACTTATCTCTGGGCCTCTTTTTCCTTCTGGAAGTAACCACCCTAGCCAACTAACAGGTCAAGATGAAATGATTTATTCTGTATAAAGTACTTAGCGCAGTATCTGATGCGTGGTGGTAGGAAATAACCACTAAATGGTAGTTGGCATTAATGATATGGATCTGCGCTAGGAGTTACATGAGCAGAGTAAGACAGGTTTCAATTTCTGTATTCCACTCCTCCCTTCCTCTGCCCACTTCTCCACCCCCTGACCCCAGTCTTTTCCAGTTAGAAAGGTAGAAATTCCTAATGGAAATCAAGAGCAGGGGAGGGGTGGAAACAGGAAACATGGGTTATCAACAAAAACTGGGCTCCAGGACAGGCGCCGTGGTTCACGCCTGTAATCCCAACACGTTGGGAGGCTGCTGGACAGATCACCTGAGGTCAAGAGTTCGAGACCAGCCTGGCCAACATGGTGAAACCCCGTCTCTACTAAAAATAAAAATTAGCTGGGTGTGGTGGCGGGCGCCTGTAATCCCAGCTACTCAGGAGGCTGAGGCAGGAGAATCACTTGAACCCAAGAGACAGAGGTTGCAGTGAGCCGAGATCACACCACTGCACTCCAGCCCAGGCGACACAGTAAGACTCCGTCTCAAGGAAAAAACAAAAACACAAAAAACTGGGCTCCTGAGTGCTTCACACGCGTGAGTGGCTATCCTGCTCCTGAGAAGCAGCTCTCCAACCCCCTGGCCCAAGTAGAGCTGGGCCCTCCTGGACGTCTACAGGATCCACTCCAGCTTGAATCATTCTCTGGACAGGCCTTTAATGCACTCTTCCTCAAGCCCTAAAGGTCATAACTCCTTGAATGGCTGGAAAAACACTGTGCTGAAATCACAAAGAATCCAGGAAAGAAAAACAGGCAGCAAAATGGAACCAAACACAGGGAGTTGAACAGACGTTTATTTTGATCCATGTCCAGCTTTGGCCAAGAAAATAATAAAATGTCCAGGAAAAATCAAGCTGAAGGGAGGGAGTGGGAGAGAGGAGCTAGTAATATCAAATTTGAGACTCTATATGAAAAAAGATAAAAGTTGGTCCACTTATCATAGCATACATACAAAAAGATAAATTCCATATGAGACTTTAAAAAACAAAAACCACACAATATTAAAGGGAAATAAATTCTTCTACAGCTTGGGAGTGGAAAAGACTTGCATAACTATGGCTAAATCTTCAGCTGCAATTGAAGAGAAAGAGTGATAAATTTTGGCTGGGCATGGTGGCTCATGCCTGTAATCCCAGCACTTTGGGAGGCCAAGGGAGGTGGATCATGAGGTCGGGAGTTCAAGACCAGCCTGGCCAATATGGTGAAACCCCGTCTCTACTAAAAATGCAAAAATTAGTCAAGCATGGTGGCGCTCACTTGTAGTCCCAGCTACTCAGGAGGCTGAGGCAGGAGAATCGCAAAAAAACAAAAAACAAAACAAAAACAAAAACAAAAAACAAAACAAACGAAACAAAACAACTATCCTAAGGTAGCATATTATACCTATCAGATCGGCAAAAAATCCAAAAATTTGTCAATACATGTAGTTGGCAAAGCTATAGGGAAATAGGCATTCTAGTACATTGTGACTAGGAATGCAAAATGAGGCAATCTCTATGGAAGGGAATTTGACTGGCTGTATCTAGCAAAATTACATATGCATTTCCAGCAATACAGTTTCTAGGAAACTATTCCAAAACATCACTGGCAAAAATATGAAAAAGTATTTGTGTAGGCTATTTATTGCAGCTCTGTTTGTCATAACAAAAGACTAGAAATAGGCCGAGCATGGTGGCTGTAATCCTAGCACTTTTTGAGAGGCCAAGGCGGGCTGTTTGCTTAAGCCCAGGAGTTCAAGGCCAGCCTGAGCAACATGGTGAAACTCCATCTCTATTTCAAATTTTAAAAATAAATAAATAAATAAATACTGGAAATAACCCAAATGTCTAACAACAAGGGACTGACTAAATTAAATATGAAGTACTATGGAGCATTAAAAAAAGAATAAATATCTCTACATACTGCCATGGGCTGATTGACAGCACCTATTGTTAAGTAAAGAAAGGTCAAACTGTATGTCAATTTTATCCCAATGTTCATTTAAAAAAAAGAGAAGTGGGGAAATCTGGATGCTACTCTATATCTAAGAATATATACATGTATATATTTAAATTTCTAAAAATCAAAAGCAAAAATAAAAGACTATCCGCACAGTGAGTTAGTGATACAATTACAGAGAGAAAAACTGTCTCAAACAACTTTAGACCACTGCAATTTGATTGTATATTCCTAGTGAGATATACCCTAAGGACAAAAAAAAAGGAACTGAAAGAATAGTTTTATTGTGGAGACAAAAGTGGCCCCATCTTGGATGCTAATCCACCATGTCGTCATCTGATTAGCCCCAGTCCCAGGAACGCCTCCTGATTCCTACTTTATTTACTGTCCCTAGTGTAAGAATATATCAACTTTGATGTTATCACACAAATTATAGGCTGTGACGCACATAGCATTCTAGCCTGTTCTGGACAGTTGCCTTTGTCTTGCACTAAGCACATATACTCTTTCCCTATGGTATATAAATAAGCCTTGGGTCTGAGATAACAGTGTGAGATCCACCTGTCTTGCAGCTGCCCAAGAGCAGGCTTCCGTCTGTAAGTTCCCCAGTGAAACACGCTTTAGCAACAAACTGGACTTGCCTACCTTGTTCTTTGGTTTCTCAGCTCCTTTGACCTTTGGGGGCCACTTTGCATGTATGGCCCTTTCATGGAAAAGCATTATCATATTAATGGCGATAATATTGATGTTGTTATTTTAAGACTGTGTATAAGTATTGAGGGATAAAGCAAACGTTGGTGGATTTGGAAACTAGAATATTTGGTTGGGAGAAAAAAACAGATGCAAGTATGTGAAGTTATATAAAAACACTGAGAGCCTCTATTTGAATGGAAAGTATCTTTTTCCTTGATCCTAGAGCTGGTAAAAAAATTTTTAAAAAAATAAAGAAAGTATTAGTATAAACAGACAATGAGTTTATTTTTAAAATATGTTTATATTTTCTTCCCACTAAAAGGCCCTAGAAACAAGAACCAATCCAGCAGCAACAAGCATCTCTGGCAGTCTATCATTTCCCTTCAACTGAAATCAGATCTTCTTAAAGAAATGCTTGGCTCTCAGACTGGGAACGGAAATGTACAAGATGTGCTTCGATATCTGGTCAAATCAGAAACTCAAAAAGCTATCAAAGTCTCTTTGGACTGTGTCAGAAAGAGGTGAAAAGACTCCCACTTGCCAAAGACGGGACAATTTGAGCATTCATAAGACTAATCACTATAATGGACTATAGTGAACTGAAGTACATCAAATATGTTTCAATCCATGATTTCATAATGGTATCTTAAATAATTGGTCACTTGTGAAGGACTCTACGTAACCAACTCAACAACTTGAAAACTGGTAATAAAGAGAAATCCTTTATTCTGCCTTTCCTATAGAAACCATAACTGAACCCCATGGTTGATGAAGCAATTTCTCTTACACAAGCAGTCTACCTAATAACTGAAGAAAGGAGCGAGCAGGGCAGGAGAGTGGGTGTGGGGGAGAAAAAAGAATAAATACATAAATGAAGAAAGAAATAATAGAATTCCAATATTACTATTTTGCAACTCCTAATGAAATAATGGATTAGTCGATGATCACGAATGACTTAGAACATCACCAAAAGAGACGGACACAAGCAGACAGCATGTACCTCTGGGTGAATGTTCACAACATTCCCTGAGAAGGGGCCCTGCAAAAACAAACACTGAACTTCAATCTGATCAGACCTCTAGATGAAATTAGCAATTCACAAGAAGTCAGCGATCAGAGGAGTGTCTTACATAGCACCTCCAGGGTAGAATCAGCAAAACCCAGACTGGAAAGCTGTACAGTACAAAAAAAATCCATTTTCTCCAACAAACCTATTTCAAGAGGGGGAAAAAATGAGAGAGCTAACCTGTACATTAAAGGAGATATAAAAAACAATAATCAGGTCAGGCAAGGCACATCTGTAATCTCAGCACTTTGTCAGACCAAGGCAGGTAGATCGCTTCAATCAAGGAGTTCGAAACCAGCCTGGGCAATGTGGTATAAAACCTGTCTCTATCAAAAAAAAAAAAAAAAAAAAAATCAGCCGGGTGTGGTGGCCCATGCCCAAATCCCACTTTTGGGATTACAAATTATAATCCCAAATTTTGTATTCTGAAATCACACTTTTGGGATTATAGGTGTGAGCCACCGTGCCTGGCCTTCGATCTTGATTTAAAGTAAACTTATTACGAAACAAAATATATGAGGCAGGGTACGGTGGCTCACACCTGCAATCCCAGCATTTTGGGAGGCTGAGGCAGGCAGATTGCTTGATCCCAGGAGGTCAAGACCAGCTTGGGCAAGACAGGAAGATCTCTACCAAAACTACAAAAATTAGCTAGGTGTGGTGGCATGCACCTGTAGTCCCAGCTACTCAGGAGGCTGAGGTGGGAGGATCACTTGAGCCCGGGAGGCAGAGGTTGCAGTGAGCTGAGATCACACCACTGCACTCCAGCTTGGGAGAATCTGAAAAAAATCAGAGACCCCTAAATTCCAAGCTATTTTGCCACTGTTCTGAGCCTAGGAATCTGCTGTTTTCAGTAAAGACCACTTCAGAGTCCAGAACCACAGGGTTGGACCATCTCCCTCCAATTGTCTCTTTACTGATCATGACCACCTCTCCCATTCTCTCCCAGCCTCCCCTCCTACCAGCACAGAGGAGAGAACCAGGAGAGTGGAGGATTCAGCCACCCAGAATGATGTGCAGGCGGGGCGTGGTATTTCACGCCTATAATCCCAGCACTTTGGGAGGCCAAGGTGGGTAGATCACTTGAGGTCAGGAGTTCAAGACCAGCCTGGTCAACATGGTAAAACTCCGTCTCTACTAAAAATACAAAAACTAGCCAGGCGTGGTGGCACGTGCCTGTAGTCCCAGCTACTTGGGAGGCTGAGGCAGGAAAATCACTAGAACCAGGAAGGCAGAAGTTGCAGTGAGCTGAGATAGCACCATTGCACTCCAGCCTGGGCAACAGAGTGAGACTCTATCTCAAAAATAATAAATAAATAAATAAATAAATAAATAAATAAAAACAGAATGAGGTGCAGACAAGAGGTTCCCTGAAAGTGGTTCCAATTCATACTCTTACTCATCTGGAGCATAGATTTTGGCATTATTGGGGATGTCCCCAAATGAACAAGTTCTGCTCATGTGATATGAGTTGATGTTCCTGATCCCAACTGGGCCTGTGATTTGGAAAGAGAAGTGTTTAGGATACTCCTCCAAATACCACCAGCAGCTAGAATAACTGTAAATGATGCACTGTGGGACTCCACTTTGAAAAAAGGGACACTCTGTGTCCACGACCTAGATGCTCCTAAGTCAGAAGAACTAAGAATTAGCCAATATCCCCACCTATGCCTACTATAGTCTCTCAAATCACTCAACCTTTCCTAGATTCAGTTGCTACTTCTGCAATAAGGGATAATATTTTATCTAGACCAGGAACCAGACTAGGATACCTCTTGAGGTCCCTAACTGCTTTGAGCTCTAACCTTATCAGCTACAATACTGGGAGGAACTCCTTATTTCAGAGAACAGAATAAACAGCAGGACCCAAGGAAGGGCAAGAATGGGCAAGTTAGGAAGTGTTGCTGGACATATGAAGCCAAGGGTTGAACCTGGTAGGCAGACACTAATTAAACAAATGTAATACTTACTGAGCTCTTACTACATGCCTGCTGCTAGGCTAGGTCCTTTTTATGCCTCATCCCATTATTACCCTCAACAATCTGTAGGCAACAACCCTCACTTCCTTCTCTCAAAGGAAACCTCACTCCGACATCTCAGGAACATGTCTCTTACGCATTTCGTATTTCAAACACCTGGAAGTTATATGAAATAACTGAAAAGTTTCATGCAATGTGCAGCAAAGATGCTGAGGGACAGCCCAGGTCTAATGTGGAAGGTCTGAGTTCATGGGGTGGGAGGAGGTGGGGGTCAAAGACCTCCATAATACAATGAACAAAGCTTCTTCCATCTTACCTTCAAGCAGCAGCCTATCTAAAAGAATTTGTCATCTTTGCAAAAGACATCCAGAAGATTCCAAGCTTCTCCAGTCAGAGCTTTGTGTTTGACAGAAGCCATGACCAGCCATTGCTCCATTCCCAGTGGCTCATCTGGCCATCTGCTATCTTGGGTTTTTTTGTTTGTTTGTTTGTTTTCAGAAACTCCAGCAAGCAACACATGAATCACATCTCTAAACAAAGGCTTGTTCCACCTCTTACAATTTTATAATAAATGAGTGAGGCTGAAAGTGGGGTGTATTTATTTGCAAGAAGTCACAATGTAAGGGGTGATTATAGAGCAATTGTTTTTTCTCTATCATTTCCTAACAAGAGTCATACCTTGAAGTTTCAATAATTACATACTGATAGTGACACACAAAAAAGAGGAATTTACATGGGAAGCAAAGATGTGAACTATATTACGTGGATTTTTTTTTTAAGATGGGGTCTTACTCTGTCATCCATGGTGGAGTGCAGTGGCACAAACATGGCTCATGGCAGCCTTGACATCCCCAAGCTCAGGTGATCCTCTCACCTCAGTTTTTTAAATTAAATTAATTTTTTGTTTTTTATTTTTAGTAGAGACAGGGTTTTGTCATCTTGCCCAGGCCAGTCTCAAACTCCTGGACTCAAGCAATCTGCCTGCCTTGGCCTTCCAAAGTGCTAGGATTACAGGCGTGAGCCACATATGGATTTTTCTGTCCCCAGTGAAGGAGCAACATTTGAACTGTGTTTACATTAGTCTAGCCAAAACAAAAACAAAAAAAACTCTTTCCCTCACCAAACCATATAATTAACAATGGGGCTTAACTCTGTAGCCACAATCATACCCAGCATTATTTCAGTGAATCAATGAAGCAATAATGGGGCACAGGGCTTTATTAGTTGTCTGTGCCTCCTGGCTATGGAGATTCAGTACGATAAACATGTCCATCTGAAAATTCAGTATTTCTGGTTGCTTCACTTGTCTGTGAAGACCCCTGACATTTAGGGACATGCAGTTTTGCTGAGGCTCAGACACAAGTGGCACTGCCCAGCTGGGCATGGTTGAGTGAGTATGGATGAGAGCTGACTACCCAGCTTCCCAAAGCGGCTCTGCATTTCTCAGCAGGTGGTCTCACAGGCAGAAACCTACGGGAAACACCTTTTTTAAAAAACCTTGTTTCTTTGTGAAAATCGCCTCCCAATAAAGCCACTTGCTTACACAGGTAATAGAAGCAATGAAAATGTCTGGCCAGGTGTGGTGGCTTACGCCTGTAATCCCAGTACTTTGGGAGGCCAAGGTCAGGAGTTTGAGACCAGCCTGCCAAATATGGTGAAACCCTGTCTCTACTAAAAATACAAAAATTAGCCGGGCATGGTGGCGGGCGCCTGTAATCCCAGCTACTCAGGAGACTGAGGCAGGAAGAATCACTTGAATCTGGGAGGCGGAGGTTGCAGTGAGCCGAGATCGCACCATTACACTCCAGCCTGGGCAACAAGAGCAAAACTCAGTCTCAAAAAACAAAAAACAAAAAACAAAAAAAAAAAGAAGTAATGAAAATGTGAAGAGATCTAAGAAAGTGACAGTTTTTAGGAATTGTAAATTGGGGTAAAGACTGGAATTTTTATCTCAATGATAGTTCAGCTCTATGATTCCAGCATAAATGCAGACATTTCGTAAAAGACTAGAGAAATGATTTCAGGAAATGTGTCCAGCCAGCTCAAACATTTCTCACAGAGTACGATACAAAGCTTAAGTGAAAGTAGGAACAGCAGATAACTTGTGGTAAGAGAATACAAACAGGAAGCAGCAGCCTCTCGAAGTAAATATTATTGAATCAGGCCTAGAAGACCTGGGGAAGTATTTATGTATCATCTAATTGGAAGATTTACAAAGCTCTCTAGTGTCTTTGGTAGAGGTCAAGAAAGGGTCGGCTCTCCTTCCTGCAAGCAGGCCGGTGGGATCACTGCACAGCAGCCTCCCTCTCCTTTTAGGATCCCTCATCTAACCCCACACCAATGGATTTTGGGGGTTGAAAGATTCTGGGCTGGGCACGGTGGCTGATGTCTGTAATCCCAGCACTTTGGGAGGCTGAGGCAGGAGGATCACTTGAGCCCAAGAGTTCAAGACCAGCCTGGGCAACATGGCAAGACCTTGTCTCTATAAAAATTTTTTTAAAAAATTAGCCAGGCATGGTGGTGTGAGCCTGTGGCCCCAATTACTCAGGAGGCTGAAGTGAGAGGATTGCTTGAGCCTGGGAGGTTAAGGCTGCAGTGAGCCAAGATCGCACCACTACACTACAGCCTGGGTGACAGAGTGAGACCCTCTCTAAATAATAAATAAAGACTCTGGGGCCGGGCGCAGTGGCTCACGCCTGTAATCCCAGCACTTTGGGAGGCCGAGGTGGACAGCTCACGAGGTCAGGAGTTCGAGACCAGCCTGGCCAACATGGTGAAACCCCATCTCTACTAAAAATACAAAAATTAGCTGGGCTTGGTGGCACGTGCCTGTAATCCCAGTTACTCAGGAGGCTGAGGCAGGAGAATCGCTTGAACCTGGGAGGCAAAGGTTGTAGTGAGCTGAGATCATGCCATTGCACTTCAGCCAGGGTGACAGAGTGAGACTCCATCTCAAAAAATAAATAAATAAATAAAAAATAAAGGCTCTGAACTCCCCAGAACAAGACTGTCTTGTGGTTAAGATGAGATGTGGGGGTGGGGTTGTAAAAGCAGTCAGCATGCCGAGCATAGAGCCCCTCTCCAACAGGAAAGTCTTCAGACTCATCTTCCAAGACCTCATCCTCTCTCTGTATAGATATTATCTAGTGCTGCATGCATATCCTCCCCTCCATTCCTACTTGATTTATTATTTTACTCTTGTTCAATGATATCTGGACTTATATGTCTTTTCTTGTAACTATCAAAGTCCCTTTGGATATAAATTTGGTGTACATAAATAACAATAGTGGGGCCGGGCACGGTGGCTCGCGCCTGTAATCCCAGCACTTTGGGAGGCCGAGGCAGGCGGATCACGAGGTTAGGAGATCGAGACCATCCTGGCTAACACAGTGAAACCCCGTCTCTACTAAAAATACAAAAAATTAGCCGGGCGTGGTTGCGGGCGCCTGTAGTCCCAGCTGCTCAGGAGGCCGAGGCAGGAGAATGGTGTGAACCCAAGAGGCAGAGCTTGCAGTGAGCCAAGATAGCGCCACTGCACTCCAGCCTGGGCGACAGAGCGAGAGTCCGTCTCAAAAAATAATAATAATAATTTTTTAAAAAATAACAATAGTAGTTACCAAGCATTGACTGTAATATGCCAAACAACGTATATACATTGTCTTTTATCCTCATGATGCTTGGAAATAGAATTTACAAGAAACAGAGGCACAGGAAAGGGAGGCAACTCATTCACTTTCTCACAGCTAGTAAGTGGTGGGCTCAGGGTTCAAACCCAAGTAGGAAGGAATCTATGTCGGACTCATGCTGTTAGTAAGTTGTCTTTAATGGTGTGTATATCATTCGTATTCCTCTCTCACCTACTACTAGTTACGCAGTTTTACAAAAGCTGTTTCCTAAGCTGAGCTAAAGGAAGGTTAACTACAAACACACCTGCGTGCACGCACACACCCTTTATTCAGCTAGATTACTTCATCCTTTCAACCAAAGGAATTGGGCCTCTTCCATGCCAGACACTGGCATGGTAAACATGTCAGCCATGGTCCCTGCATTTCTGGAGCTTCTATTTTCACTACCGCTATTCCCCAGGTATGTCTTAAACGATACCTTCTTTAGTAGGCATTCCTTGTCACCCCAGACTAAATTAGATGACCTCATTATACAGTACCATGCTTTTCTTTCATAACACCCAATACCCTGTAATTACTTGTTCAATGTCTTTCTTCTTGGGCCGGGTTCGATGGCTCATGCCTGTAATCCCTGCACTTTGGGAGGCCGAGGTGGGTGGATCACCTGAGGTCAGGAGTTCGAGACCAGCCTGGCCAACATGATGAAACCCCTGTCTCTACTAAAAATACAAAAAATTAGCCAGGAGTGGTGGCAGGTGCCTGTAATCCCAGCTACTCAAGAGGCCTGAGGCAGGATAATTGCTTGAACTTGGGAGGCGGAGGTTGCAGTGAGTCGAGATCACACCACTGCACTCCAGCCTCGGCAACAAGAGCAAAACTCCGTCTCAAAAAAATAAAAATAAAAAAGTCTTTCTTCTCATTGTCCTGTGACCTCCATGAGGATGAGACGGGCTGTCCTGTTCGCTGCTATAGCCAGTATCTTGTGTAGCACCTGGCACCTAAGAGAAAATTCATAATTGTTTGTTGAATGAATGGATGTGAACAAGCAGTAGGAAAAGACTTTCTCAAAGGTTAGGGAAGATGGTGCAGGGTTGGTGACTAACCCATATTTAGCTGATATCAGTTTCTGTGCCACTAAGTTCTAACCTCTCTCTGCTTAATAGGAACCAGCAGCCTCTGAGTTTAAGCCTCCCTCCATTGCACACACATTCCAGTGTCTGCCTTGCTAATGAGCTCTGCCAGGCTCAGCCCAGGAGCTGTACCAGTGAGTGGCAGCCTGCCCTGTGGAAGGGACTAATTAATCCTAAATGTCACATTGGTCTCATAGCTCTTGCCCTTTACACGCATACCCAATCTGGGTATCTCTTTAATCACAATCTCTAGCCCTGGATTGAACCTCAAGAGAATCAACAATACCTGGAACGAATGACCACATCCCCGCTCCACCCCTCACTGTGTTGGGGTTACCTGGAGATGGTGTCTTTCCCACTGTAGTCTGTAGGAGGAGGTCACACACCTGGGAATAAGAGTGGTCTCTGAAAGAGATGGCCATTCAGGTATTAGGCAGGCATAGGTGAGGTGGGTCATCAGATAGGGACCTGGAACTCAGAAGGGAGCCTTTCACAGGAGGGGTGGGAACCTCCATGCGTCTCTAACCTTCTCTACTCAGACTCAGGGAGTTGCCATGGGAGGGAGCCAGGAAGGGGCAACTCCTGCAGTTGCCTTCAATGACTCTGATTCTGGTTACCTGCTGCTCAGTCCTTCACTTTCTCTTTCCTTAGCTCTTGGCCTTTAGGGAGGTCCTGTTTTAACAAGACTGTTCCAGGTGTGTGCAGTGCTGATGGCCTCAGCTGTACTTGTTCATAGACATAAAGGGACAGAAAAACCTCTGGGGACAGGGTAGGGCTGCAACGTCCAGCTTCGCTCCCCAGGGAGATGCTCCCATCACAAAAGATGTACCACTTATTTTGTTACAGGAGGCTGCTGTTTCTTTGCAGCATCTTTTTGGTTGTTTTTGAGATGGGGTCTCATTCTGTTGCCCAAGCTGGAGTACAGTGGCATGATCATGGCTCACTGCAGCCTCAAACCCCTGGGGCAATCCTCCCACCTCAGCCTCCCAAGTAGTTGGTACTACAGGTGCTCACCAACACACCTGGCTAATTTTTATATTTTTTGTAGAGATGGGGGTACACCATGTGGCCCAGGCTGGTCTCAAACTCCTAGGTTCAAGTAATCTGCCTGCCTCAGCCTCCCACAGTGCTGGGATTACAGGCATGGGCCACCGAGCTCAGCCTTTTGGCAGCATCTACACAAGCTGCGGAAGGCCTCTGATTCCAGGCCTCAGATGGAGTGCCCCAAAGTGGCATGAGACTCAGCTCTGCAGATTTTTGCCCTGGGGCTTAGAGTTGTTCTGCTCTTCACAGATCCCAGCCTGGAATAACCCCATCTCTACCAAAAAAACACAAAAATTAGCCAGGTGTGTTGGTGAGCACCTGTAGTCCCAGCTACTTGGCAGACTGAGATGGGAGGATTGCTTCTGCCTTAGGAGTCTGGGGACCTTGCCAGAGGAAGGTCACCACCTGTCAGGCAAAGGGATTCCTACTGTAACCCCAGGGTCAGGAATCCGGTCCACAAACTGCTTTTCATCCCAAGACCTCAGGCTCAAAGTCAAAGTTCCCCTCTTCTGTGTTGTGCAGCACCACCCCCACCACACTCCCACCAATCCAGGGCACTTTTCTAGTTTCTTCATGAATTAGATCTCCCTTTTCTTGATCTGAAAGAAAAGGACCCTAATAACAAGCCAGAACTCCTCCCAGCAAAATCCCTGGGATTAATAACATTGGTACTTACTTTGTTCATGTGTGAATAATCAATATTCTCCAGCCTCTTTTCTGTCTCTTTTGTGCACACACTTTCCCATAGATACTATCGGTCTTCCCTCAGTCTGCAGCTGAAACTCTGTGACTGCTGGGGGCAGGCCCTGTTCTCTTCAGCTCTCACTCTGGACCCCAAGGTTAGTGCTCTGGGCCGGGCGCGGTGACTCACACCTGTAATCCCAGCACTTTGGGAGGCCGAGTCTGGTGGATCACTTGAGGCCAGGAGTTCAAGACTAGCCTGGCCAACATTGCGAAACCCTGTCTCTACTAAAAATACGAAAATTGCCAGGCATGGTGGCACGTGCCTGTAATCCCAGCTACTTGGGCAGGAGAATTGCTTAAACCTGGGAGGCAGAGGCTGCACTGAGCCAAGATCACGCCACAGCATTCCAGCCTGAGCGACAGAGTGAGACTCTGTCTCAAAAAAAAAAAAAAAAAAAAGAAAGACAGTGATGTGTTAGCAAACCAGCTTGTGGGGGAGATGGGGATCCCTGATTTGTAGCAGTTATCCGTGTGTAGTTATTCCGTGGTGTAGATACTTCCTCCCATGACCAATTTCCAACCACTGACAGTTTAACAACCAGCTTGCAAATTTCCTGAATATTTAACACTCTCACTAGCAGGTCTGAGCTGGCTCCAGCACACCACTGGTTCAGGGGAATCACTGGAGCTTACCTGGGACCCAGGATGTCTTGACAAAATGAGTAACAGATCACATGGAAGTGAAGAGAGAGAGGGTACCTCACACGTCATTTCTGCCCGCTGGCTCCCCTGGCTCAGGGTACTGGAAAGAGTACGGGCTTTAGAAAAGCTCTAGGTTCAAGTCCTTGTGTGACTGCAAGTTTCAGCATCCAACTCTGCAAAATAGGATTGATAAAACCAACCCACAGGATTACTTTGAAGATAAAATTAGATACCTAGATTAAATGCCTAACAAATACATGGAGCAAGCTCTCAATATACGTTTTCTTTTGCCCCCACCCTGTCCTAATTTTCTAGTAGTTCAAAGAATTCTTTTCCAAAGGACCCAATAGGAGAAGCTCAAATGCATCACTGTCAAAGAGGGGACAGGTAAGTCTACCCAATCCACCCCAGTGTGAGCTTTAACTTTGGACCCCTTCAAGGAGCACAGCTCTTTTCTGCTTCAAGACTCTCCTTTGTCCTCATTCCAAGAGGTGAGTTCACCAAAATTTTCTGGGGTTCATGCCACCTAGCTTCATTCTCCTCTGATATGGCAAGCTGCACCCAGAATCAGAAACCACACTTCAAAAAGGGAGCAGCATGTCAGGGCCAGAGCAAGGGCATCGGCTGCCCCAAGGCTGCCCTTTGTACGGGGCAGAGCACATAAAGCTTTCCGCAAGCCCCAAATGCCTCCCACATCAAACCAGGTCCTATAGTCAATGGTTACACTGAACACTCATGGGGATTTATGGCACAATTTTGCAGCAGGAGGTTGTGGTCCGAGATTTAGAAGAACTTTCCAACTATAAAACTACCCTAGAAGGAAGTGGAATCTTTGACTCTGTGGCTCGAGTGAGGGAGGAGTCAGAAGCAGAAGGGACATGAGGCTCCCTAGATTTGAGTTTTGCTGCTCACAAACAATGAAATGATTGGGATCATACAGCAGAGACAGCAAATGAAACTTTGGAGAAATACCGTTTCTTTTTATTTTTTATTTTTATTTTTATTTTTATTTTATTTTATTTTATTTTATTTTATTTTTTTGAGACGGAGTCTCACTCTTTTGCCCAGGCTGGAGTGAAGTGGCATGATCTCGGCTCACTGCAACCTCTGCCCCCGGGTTCAAGCGATTCCCTGCCTCAGCCTCCCCAGTAGCTGGGATTACAGGTGCTTGCCACCACGCCCGGCTAATTTTTGTACTTTTAGTAGAGACAGGGTTTCACCATGTGGCCAGGCTGGTCTCGAACTCCTGACCTCAGGTATTCCACCCACCTCAGCCTCCCAAAGTGTTAGGATTACAGGCGTGAGCACCACCCCCAGCCTAAGAAATATGGTTTCTTGTGACAAAGAGCTTTTGGTAACTCAGGAAATTTTCAGAAACTTTGAAGTATTATACAAAAACTCTTAATTAGAATTAGATGAGAAGGCCAGGTGCAGTGGCTCATGCCTGTAATCCCAACGCTTTGGGAGGCCGAGGCAGGCGGATCATGAGGTCAAGATATCGAGACCATCCTGGCCAACATGGTGAAACCCTGTCTCTACTAAAAACACAAAAGTTAGCTGGGCGTGGTGGTGCGCGCCTGTAGTCCCAGCTACTCAGGAGGCTGAGGCAGGAGAATCGCTTCAACCTGGGAGGTGGAGGTTGCAGTGAGCCGAGATCATGCCACTGCACTCCAGCCTGACGACAAGACTCCATCTCAAAAAAAAAAAAAAGAATTAGATGAGAAGATCTGGGTTTGAGCCATATCTGGCCACCTTCCAACTGACTGACCTATGCAAGTTATTTAACCACACTGAGTCTCAGTCACTCATATGTTCACTCACTCAGGCTATATTTATTGAGCATGTAGCATGTGTCTTGCATGGGGCTAAGAGAATCCTGGGAAGATAATGGTGAGCAAAACCGGGCACAGTCCTTTTTCTTTTCTTTCCTTTTCTTTTTTAAGTAGAGACGGGGTCTCACTCTAATGCCCAGGCTGGTCTCGAACTCCAGGGCTCAAGTGATGCTCCCACCTTGGCCTCCCAAAGTGCTGGGATTACAGGCATAAGCAACCTTGCCAGGCCCATGGTCCTTTTCTTACGAAGCTGAAAATTTATTCCTCCGTAACAAGGCATACTAATGCTGAGACCACTGGATATGCACATGCAAAAGAATGAAGTTGGACCCTTACCTCATACCATAGACAAAAATTTATTCAAAATAGATCAAAGACCTACATGGAAGAGATAAAACTATTAAATTCTTAGAAGAAAAGACAGATGTAAATCTTTGTGACCACAGACTAGGCAGTGGTTTCTTAGCTATGACACAGTGCACAAGCAGGAAAAAAAAATAGATAAATTGGACTTCAAAATTTAAAACTTTTGTGCTTCAAAGGACATTAAGAAAATAGGCTGGGCATGGTGGCCCATGCCTGTAGCCCAAGCACTTTGGGAGGCCAAGCCAGGAGGATTGCTTGAGCCCAAGAGTTCGAGATCAGCCTAGGCAACAAAGCGAGACCCTGTCGCTATTAAAAAAAAAAAAAAAAAAGAAAAGAAAGAAAGAAAGAAACAGGTAAAAAAGACCCATAGAATGGGATAAAATATTTGTAAATTATGTATCAGTTAAGAGACTTATATTTAGAATTTATAACAAACTCTTACAACTCAATAATAAAAAGACAACTCAATTAAAAAATACGCAAAGGATCTGAATAAACATTTCTCCAAAGGTATACAAATGACCAATAAGCACATGAGAAGACGTTCAGGCCAGGCGCGGTGACTCAGCACTTTGGGAGGCCGAGGTGGGCGGATCACTTGAGGTCAGGAGTTTGAGACCAGCCTGGCCAACATGCTGAAACCCTATCTCTAGTAAAAATATAAAAAAATAGCCAGGAGTGGTGGTGCACACCTGTAGTCCCAGCTACTCAGGAAACTGAGGCAGGAGAATCGCTTGAACCCAGGAGGCAGAAGTTGCAGTGAGCTGAGATCGTGCCACTGCATTCCAGCCTGGGCGACAGAGCGAGACTCCATCTCAAAAAAAAAAAAAAAAAGATATTCAACATCATTAACCACCAAGAAAATGCAAATCTAAACCACCATGAAATACCACTTCATACCCACTAAGATGGCTAGAATCAAAAAGACAGACTGGAGAAACTGGAACCTTCATACACTGCTGGTGAGAATGTCAAATGGCTCAGCAACATTGGAAAGCAGTTCTCAAAAGTGGAACATAAAGTTAATGACCTCGAAATTCCACTCCTAAGTGTATACCAAAGAGAAAATGGATGTCCACACAAAATCTTATACATGAATGTTCACACTAGCATTATTCATAATAGCTAAAATTTGGAAACAGTATAAATGTCCATCAACTGATGAATGTATAAATAAAATATGGTATATCCATACAATGAAATAGTATTCAACAATAAAAAGAAAGTACTGATTCATGCTACAACACTGAAAACACTATGCTAAGTGAAAGAAGCCAGACATAAAATGCCACATATTGTATGATTGTTTATATGAAATGTCCAGTGTAGGCAAATCTATAGAGACAAAAAGTAGATTAGTGGTTGCTTAAGGCTGGGAAGGGGAGAGATTGGGGGTAAAACCGGAAATGACTGCTAATGAGCATGGGACGTCTTTGAGTGTGATGAAAATGTTCTAAAATTGTGGTGATGGTTGCACAACTCTGTGAATATACTAAAAACCATTTCTGCCGGGTGCGGCGGCTCACGCCTGTAATCCCAGCACTTTGGGAGGCCGAGGTGGGTGGATCACGTGGTCAGGAGTTCAAGACCAGCCTGGCCAAGATGGTGAAACCCCATCTCTACTAAAAATACAAAAATTAGCCGGGCACGGTGGCAGGAGCCTATAATCCTAGCTACTCTGGTCTGAGCAGGAGTGTCGCTTGAACCAGGGCGGCAGAGGTAGCAGTGAGCCAAGACTGAGCCACTGCACTCCAACCTGGGCAATAGAGTGAGACTCTGTCTCAAAAAAAAAAAAAAAAAAAACACATTTCATTGTACATTTTTAAAGGGTGGATTTTTTTTTTTTTTGAGATGGCGTCTCACTTTGTACCCCCCAGGCTGGAGTGCAGGAGCATGATCTCGGCTCACCACACTGCAACCTCCACCTCTTACAAGGTGAATTATATAGTATGTGAATTGTATCTCAATATAAATGTTATTAAATTGTATACCCACATTCACAGCAGCATCATTCACAATAGCCAAAAGGTGGAAGCCATCCAAGTGTCCATCAATAGATGAATGAATAAGCAAAATGTGGCCAGGCCTGGTAGCTCACACCTGTAATCCAAGCACTTTGGGAGGCTGAGGTGGGAGGATTGCTTGAACCTAGGAGTTCGAGACCAGCCTGGGCAACTTGATGAGACCTCATCTCTACCAAAAACACAAAAATTAGCCAGGCATGGTGGTGCATACCTGTAGTCCCAGCTACTCAGGGGACTAAGGTGGTGAGAGGTTGACTTGAGCCAGGGAGACTGAGGTTGCAGTGGGCTGAGATCGCACCACTGCATTCCAGCCTGGGCAACAGAAGGAGACTCTGTCTCCACCCAAAAAAAAAAAAAAAATTGTATAATACATATATACATATAATGGAATATTTTTTTAAAAAGAAAATTCTGATATGCACTACAATGTGGATAAACCTTGAAGACATCCTGCTAAGTGAAATAAAAGCCAATCATGATCGGGCGTGGTGCCTCATGCCTGTAATCCTAGCACTTTGGGAGGCTGAGGCGGGTGGATCACCTGAGGTCAGGAGTTTGAGACCAGCCTGACCAACATGGAGAAACCCTGTCTCTACCAAAAATACAAAAAATTAGCCCAGTGTGTTGGTGCATGCCTATAATCCCAGCTACTCGGGAGGCTGAGGCAGGAGAATAGCTTGAACCTGGGAGGCAAAGGTTGCGGTGAGCCAAGATTGTGCCATTGCACTCCAGCCTGGGCAACAAGAACAAAAGTCCATCTCAAAAAAAAAAAAA
Organism: Homo sapiens; assembly: GCF_000001405.40. NCBI lineage: Eukaryota > Metazoa > Chordata > Mammalia > Primates > Hominidae > Homo > Homo sapiens. Next base: position 2,094,109 of record NT_167246.2, on the reverse strand, counting down.
AGCCAATCACAAGAGGAAAAATATTTTATGATTCCACCTTTTTTTTTTTTTTTAGACAGAGTTTTGCTCTGTCACCCAGGCTGGAGCGATCTCGGCTCACCACAAACTCGCCTCCTGGGTTCAAGCGATTCTTCTGCCTCAGCTTCTCAAGTAGCTGGGATTACAGGCGCCCACCACCACGCCCAGCTAATTTTTGTATTTTAAGTAGAGACGGGGTTTCGCAATGTTGGCCAGGCTGGTCTTGAATTCCTGACCTCAGGTGATCCGCCCACTTCGGCCTCCCAAAGTGCTGGGATTACACTCGTGAGCCACCATGCCTGGCCGATTCCACTTTTTTTAAGACAGAATCTTGCTGGAGTGCAGTAGCGTGAGCTCAGCTCACTGCAACCTCTGCCTCCCGCGTTCAGGCAATTCTTGTGCCTCAGTCTCCCAAGTAGCTGGGATTACAGGCACACGGCAGCATGCCCAGCTAATTTTTGTATTTTTAGTAGAGATGGGGTTTTGCCATGTTGGACAGGCTGGTCTCGAACTCCTGACCTCAAGTGATCCATCAGACTTGGTCTCCCAAAGTGCTGGGATTACACGTGTGAGCCATCGCGCCCAGCCTATTATTCCACTTATAAAAGGCACCTACATCCTGGCCAACATGGTGAAACCCCGTCTCTACTAAAAATACAAAAATTAGCTGGGCGTGGTGGCGTGTTCCTGTAATCCCAGCTACTCGGGAAGCTGGGGCAGGAGAATCACTAGAACCCAGGAGGCAGAGGTTGCAGTGAGCCAGGATCGTGCCACAGCACTCTGGCTTGGTGACAGAGAAAGACTCCGTCTCAAAAAAACAAATAAATAAAAAATAAAATAAAAGGCATCTAAAGTGGTTACATTCTACAGAAAGTAGAATGGTGGTTGCCAGGGCTAAGGAAAGTGGGGAATGTGAAGGTATTGTTTGCTGGGTGGAGTTTCAGTGGGGGAAGATGAAAAAGTTCTGAATGTGGCTGATGGTGATGGTTGCACAATAATGTGGATGTACCTAATGCCACTGAACTGTATGTTTACAAACAGTTAAAATGCTAAATTCTATGTCTATTTTACTACAATTTTCAAAATAAAGGCATAATGATAGCTCTTACCTCACAGGGTGATTGTAAGAATGAATAAGATGAATATTGGCTGAAGGAATGGCTAAAATGAGTAACAACTTTTATGAGCCTGGCCTGGAGAGCAGGGTTGGGAATGAGACAGGGAGTGGTGGAGGGACAATTTAACTGTCTACCTTAACACATGTACCATTGTTTAGGTTTTCCCCCAACTGTTATATAACTCAACAAAGTATAACATGGCAGAGGGCTGCTTACATTCTCAAGTTATTGATTTGTTCAAGTCTCAGTGTCCACAGAAAAGTGCATGAGTTTTGGGATCAACATTCTATCCTTGGCCAGTATTTGACCTTCTGTGTTTGTATCTTTATGTGTATCTTTCCCCAGATTTCTTTAGCTTTGCTTACCTTACTCCTCATCTACCCCCAATTGACTTGAGTCTTAGTCACAAAGATCTTCAATTTCCCTGTCTGATCACTAGATCCTCCCCTCTCATCTGAGAAAGGCCCCAGACTCAGATAGAAGGGCTCCCTGTCTCTCTGACCCAGTATGCCTCTTCCCCATTTTTACCTGACTTTATACAGTGAAATCTTCCCTGAGAGCTGACTTTTCAGTTCCTCACTTTGCGAATTGCAAGACCCACTCACCCAGGAGGCCGAAGATGGCTCAGAGCCCAGACAGCCGGAAGTCTGTTTCCTGGGCCGGGGAATGCTGGCAGAAATCCAGATAGCTGACGTCACCTGGTCCAGATGGCGGAAGCCATTGCCCAACCATAGGAAATCGATGCCAACAACACATTTCTCTATGACTGTCTCCCTCAATCCAGAAAAGCATTTTCATAGAGAGGAGGCAGCTCAATAGTAGTGGAAAGTGGCCTAGCCTTCGAACCATGTGATGTGTTGAGTATGAGGCTGGCTGCAGCGTCAGCTGACAGATAACGTGAGAGCGGAGCACTGTACTCCAAGTCAGAAAACGTAAGTCTGAGCAGGAGAGCGGCCACCTAACTTCTGACCTTTGACAAATCACTGGATTTCCTTCAACTGGCTTTTTTAAAGCTATGAATAATAATACCTCACAGAAGCTATTATTGCAAGGCTGGAATGAGGTCATCTGTATAGAAGATTTCATAAGCTTGAAGCAGGATGCCAATGCAAAATTCTGCCTCTGTGAGAGGCTTCCTGGGAGAAGCAGATCCTGAGGGGCAGAATGGAGAGTGACTACAGGCTGATCCCAGAGCCAGGCAGCTGGCGCTGTGTGAAAGTGGGCTTGCCGCTGCCTAGCTCTGCAATTGGGATGCATAACAGCCTCTCTGTGCCCAGTTACTCAGTCAAAATGAGGATAAGAATGCCCATGTCTGGTCGGGTGTGGTGGCTCACGCCTGTAATCCCAGGACTTTGGGAGGCTGAGGTAGGTGGATCACCAGGTCAAGAGATTGAGACCATCCTGGCCAACGTGGTGAAAACCCGTCTCTACTAAAAACACAAAAATTAATTGGGCGTGGTGGCACGCACCTGTAGTCCCAGCTACTCAGGAGGCTGAGGCAGAAGAATCGCTTGAACCCGTAAGGCGGAGGTTGCAGTGAGCCAAGATCACACCTCTGCACTCCAGCCTGGTGACAGAGCAAGACTCCATCTCAAAAAAAAAAGAATGCCCATGTCACAGGATGGTCTTGGGGGATAGGGGGACAGTAAGTGAGTTACTCCACATAGAGCACATAGCACAATGCCCAGCATGTGACAGCACTCACTGTTGAGTAATAATTAAAAAACAAATCAGGCTGGTGGGACCAGGGGAAAGCAAAGAAATGAGGCAAATGGCCCAAGACATATGGCCCTCCTGCTCAGATAATGTACATAACTCAAAAACTTCTGCTTACCATCAAACACCTCAATTTATCAAACACCCTGGCTGACAAAAAAAAAAAAAAAAAAATGCAAGTTACCTCCCTGCTACCCTGGCATAATCAGTACTGCACATAACACTCTACAGCCTAAGAGCCATCCTACAAAATCCCCAACAAGCCTTTGTTTCCTTGCAGTCAGCTCCTCTTCTGCTGGCCTGCCCGTTGCTCTCCTGCCCATTGCTCTCCTGTTTTTCTACTTTCTCTAATAAATTTGCCTTTCTCTACCTACAACTGTCTTGGTAAATTCTCTTACCCCTGAGCCGCCAGCCCAGATAGCCGTTGCTCCCCTGAAACATTTTGGTGGCCCATACAGGGAACTCTCCCTCTCCATACAGGGACTCTCTCTCCTTTCCCTTTCCCAACTCGGGACCCTCGAAGGACAGCATCTAAGCACAAAGACAATTGCAGGTCTCTGGCCAGAGCTACACTCCAGTGAGACTGAAAGGTGTCTGTCCATGTGGAAGCATCTGATCATCATTGCCTGGTTTGGGTGAGTGACCTGACTTTTTTTCTTTTTTCAGTCTTTCAGCAACCAGCTTCTAGTATCTCTCTGGCAATCAAAGGTAACTGGCCAGGGCCACTCTCCAGTGTTGCCTGAAGGCCCAGAGTGAACAGGGCTAGCTGCCCTGCCTGGAAGGGAGAAAGGCTGTTGCCCATCTTCTCTAATTGCAAGTCCCTCATCCCTATATGTGACACAATTGACAGCAGAAGCTTGTTCGGGGCAAACTCACACACGTTTTAGGTAACTCAGACGCTCTCTTTCTCACTCTAAATTCACCTATGGAGTCAGCCAGCCATCCTGTCCTGGGCCTTGCTAAATCAGGTGATGTCAGACAGCCTCAGAACGGTGAGTCTTCTCTTACCCACCCCACCTCCTGGGCCAAGACCAGGTAGAGATCTTCCTTTACCCTTCTTTTTCCTCGTGCCTGGGCTGATCACCCAGCATAAGTGAGTGCCTGGACTGGCCATCCAGCATGAGGCCCCTGAGCGGCCAGGAGGTCTTTTCTAATTGGTGGGATGCCCCCTTTGGAAAGTGCATCCAAGTCCCTCTGTGGATGTAAGTGGAACCCTCTGTTCATCTCAGTGAGATGCCCCCCGCAGAAAAGTGCAGTTCATGTCCCTGATTGACATTGCCCCAGAGCGGCATGTTTTCCAGTCCCACCATGGAGCAAACCCCGTCCGTTCCTGCAAACTTGCCTCTAGGCTGTAAAGAATTGTGACAAATTCTACCGCCAAACTCTCAAAAAGAAACATCTAATTTTCTTGTATAACACAGCATGACCCCTATGCAGAAAATTACCAAATTAGCCTCCTCAGTCTTTATAACCAAGAACAAAATAAGGAGGACAAGACTAAGAAAAAAACAAACACGGAGCCAAAAGGCAGGCTCAACTGTTGGCTGCTTTACAAGCCCCAGCTCCTACTCAGATAGCAGAACTCACAAACTTCCTGCTTACCATCAAACACTTCAACTTTCCAGACATCCCAGCTGACAAAAAAATGCAAGTTACCTCCCTGCAACCCTGGCGTTTTCCTAATTACTGTAATAAATCTGCCTTTCTCTACCTACAACTGCCTTGGTAAATTTTTTTTTTCTTTTTTTGAGATGGAGTCTCACTCTGTCACCCAGGCTGGAGTGCCGTGGCGCAATCTCGGCTCACTGCAAGCTCCGCCTCCCAGGTTCAAGCAATTCTCCTGCCTCAGCCTCTCGAGTAGCTGAGATTAGATTACAAGCACCCACCACCGCGCCCGGCTAACTTTTGTATTTTTAGTAGAGACAGAGTTTTACCATGTTGGCCAGGCTGGTCTCAAACTCCTGACCTTAGGTGATCCACCCGCCTCGGCCTCCCAAAGTGCTGGGATTATGGGCGTGAGCCACTACGCCCGGCTGGTAAATTCTTTTACCCCAACGCCACCACCGCAGATAGCCATCACTCCCCTGAGACACTGATGAAGCAGCGGCTAGGATGATTCTTCCAGAGGCCATCCTGTCCACTTGCAGGCCCTGGGCTGGGTGGGTATTCAGCCCAATCCCCAGAGACCTCATGCAAAGAAATGCTGCCCCAACACACTGTCCACATGGCAGGCAGAGCAATTTAGCTAAAAATCTGACCATGTCACTTCCCCACATAACAGCCCAAATATCCCCGAGCCCATCCACTTAAAGACCAACATCTTAACATTTGAGTCTCTGTGATAGGACCCTGAATCCCTCTCCAGCCTCATCTCCTGCTGCCCACAGCCTCTCATCAAGGGTCCAGCAACCCCAGACTACCTGCAGCTACCTGGCTCCTATTGCCCCTCTGCCCATCGTGGTCCCTCTTTCTCCTCAGAAACCTTGCCATTGCTAACTCCTAGTTATCCTTCAAGACACTCAGGCTCAAATTTTCCAGAAAGCCCCTTTGCAGGGCCTGCTTCCCCTTCTCTTCCCTTAATTCCTCCTGGCACTTCCATCATTGCACAAGCCAGATTGAATCCCAACTGTTCTTGTGTCTGTTTCACACCAGTCTAGGGGCTCCTTGAAGGCAGAGGCCAGCACTAGGTCTTGGTTGCCCCTGTAAAGCCAGCCCAAGCACAATGTCAGGCACAGAGTAGGCGCCCAGTAAACCGAGTGGAAAGACTGATAAATGCACACCCAGAAGCTCTATTTGCCAAAGTTTGTTTGTTCATTTGTCTTAAGGGAAAATGTTGTTTGCCTGGGGTTGGGGCCAACAATTCCAAGAAATACAGTTTCCCTTTGCCTCAGTGGTTTTTCCTTTTGTTTTCTTTTGTTTTTCTGAGAATCACCTCTGTCTATGCCTCAGACATCCCTTATACCTGTTTTTTTGTTTTGTTTTGTTTTGTTTTTTTTTATTTTTATTTATTTATTTATTTTTTATTTTTTGAGACAGAATCTCACTCTGTGGCCCAGGCTGGAGTGCAGTGGCGCACTCTCACCTCACTGCAACCTCTGCTTCCCAGTTCCAAGCGATCCTCATGCCTCAGCCACCCAAGTAGCTGGGATTACAGGCCTGCACCACTAAGGCCAACTAATTTTTGTATTTTTAGTAGAGACGGGGTTTCAGCATGTTGGCCAGGCTGGTCTTGCACTCCTGACCTCAGGTGATCCATCTGACTGGGCCTCCCAAATTGCTGGGATTATAGGCGTGAGCCACCCTGCCTGGCCCTCTGTACCTCTTTCTTCCCTGTTTTTATACTTTGTCTCGCCTTCTTTATCACTTTGTTTCTTTTCCTTTCCTCTGTATTACATTTCTGTACCTTTGTTGCTTTATATCCTTTCTTCTTCCTTTTTCTTTTGTGGTTGAGTGGCTCTCTGTTCTATTGCCCTTTAGCCAGGGTTAGAAGCTGGTAAGAACATTCCTGGGGGCCAGGTGCGGTGGCTCATGCCTGTAATCCAGCACTCTGGCAGGCCAAGGCAGGGGGATCACTTGAGCCCAGTAGTTCAAGACCAGCCTGGGCAACATAGTGGGACCCTGTCTCTGCAAAAAATAAAAAAATCAGCTGGGTATGGCAGGGTATGTCTGCAATCCCAGCTACTCGGAAGGCTGAGGTGGGAGAGGATTACTTAAGATCAGGAGGGGAAGCCTGCAGTGAGCTATGATCACGCCACTGCACGCCAGCCTGGGTAACAGAGCAAGATTCTGTCTCAAAAAAAAAAGTATCCCTGGGTTCATGACTCTTAGAAAGAAAAAAGGAGAGTCTGAAAGGAAGAAAATCAGCTTTATTATGTACCAAGAAGTTCCAAACATTTTACTTCACATAATCTTAGTAATAAATGTGTAATGTGGTATATCAACCAAGCAGGCTAGGTTATGCTTCAGTAACAAACAACCCCCAAATCTCAATGGCTTTTATGCAGCAAAGCTTCATTGACTCTCCTGCCACATATCCATGGTGGGTTGGCCGAGGCTCTGCTCTGAGCTGTCATTGTCCTAACTCCAGGACCCAGGTTGACAGAGCAGCCACTATGTGGAATATCACCAATTACTATAGTTGAAGGAGAAAAAAAAATGTGGAAAAGCATACACTAGCTTTTAAAACTTCCACCTAGAAGGCACCATTTTAATTGGCCTCAGTAAGTCACGTAGCCACGCCTGGATTAGTGGGTAGGAGTTAAATGGAGTGGCAAAGTTCAATTTTCTTACACCCTTTGAAGGAAAGAGGGCCTCAAGTATTTAAAAATAGGTCTGATAATCACAGTGGATGTTACTGTTCCCACTTTACTGATGAAATAGCTGAGGCTCAAGAAGTTTACATAGTTTGTTCAAGAACATGCAGCAAATATCAGAGAGAGGAAGTGAACCCATGCCTTTTGATTCCTAGGACTGTGACCTTCCCCTCCACTGGGTTTTTAAGATGCTAGGCCTGGCCAGGCACAGTGGCTCATGCCTGTAATACCAGCACTTTAGGAGGCTGAGGTGGGCGGATCACTTGAGGCCAGGAGTTCGAGACCAGCCTGGCCAACATGGCTAAACCCTATCTCTACTAAAACTACAAAAAATTAGCTGGCGAGGTGGTGTGTGCCTGTAATCCCAGCTACTTGGGAGACTGAGGCCGGAGAATCACTTGAACCCAGGAGGCAGAGGTTGCAGTGAGCTGAGATGGTGCCACTGCACTCCAGCCTCGGCAACAGACCAAGACTCTGTCTCAAAAAAAAAAAAAAAAAAAGGCCGAGCACGGTGTCTCACGCCTGTAATCCCAGCACTTTGGGAGGCCAAGGCGGGAGGATCACGAGATCAGGAGATCGAGACCATCCTGGCTAACACAGTGAAACCCCGTCTCTACTAAAAAATACAAAAAAAATTAGCCGGGCGCGGTGGCAGACGCCTGTAGTCCCAGCTACTAGGGAGGCTGAGGCAGGAGAATGGCGGGAACACGGGAGGCGGAGCTTGCAGTGAACCGAGATCGCGCCACTGCACTCCAGCCTGGGCGACAGAGCCAGACTCTGCCTGAAAAAAAAAAAAAAAAATTAGGCCTTTTCTACCAACTTTTTGGACACTGCTGTGAGGCTTGGCTTGCTGGAACCCAGGAAGAAAAAGGATAAGAAGCTCATCTTTGCTCACTGGCCCCAGAGCATGACTTCTGGTGAGGGGCATCAGAATCTCTCTCCAAAACATTGAGAGACTTCTAATTCCCAAGACAAAACCAGGTGGGTTATAAAACTTGCACCACAATTGTTAGAAACCTTCCAGACAAAACCAATTTATGGTAACAGAAGTCAGAATAGGCCAGGCGCAGTGGCTCACGCCTGTAATCTCAACACTTTGGGAGGCCAAGGAGAGCAGATCACTTAGGTCAGGAGTTCCTGTCCTCAGGTGATCCACCCACCTTGGCCTCCCAAAGTGCTGGGATTACAGGCGTGAGCCACCACACCCCACCAGCAGCCTGACTCATAATGGTCCCCACTGACCTGGGCAAGCAGCTGGCAAGTGCTGACCATGTGGCCAGAGGAACAGACTCTTCCGTTTCATCAGTACTGCATCAGTCTGGGCATCTTGTATGACCTGAGGGAGGGAGCCTGAAAACTGTCTGACACTGGAGTTCCAGTCAGTGGTGGGCAGGGCTGGACCCAGAGTCTATTTGAGTGAGTCCACAAAGAAACAAGACATTACTTGTAGCCCAGGAGCTGTGGGGCAATCATATCTGTTGCATATATGTGGACATACATGCCTACCTTCACATAAATGTTTCTAGATAGATAGAGAAGGATCTAGTAACAGTTATGAGTCTGGGAAGTGGGACCGGATCTCCCTTTTTTTTTAACTGTTTTTTTTTTAATTGAACAGATTTTCTTGTATAATAAAAATGTATTTCAAAATTAGAATGACAGCAATAATAAACTCAGATTGCTAAATTCTTCAAACGATAGGAAAGCTGGTAACCCTGCCTCATGGGAGGGGTAAGCTTGTGACCCACACCTCGACAGTGATGTCTCCCAGCTATGGCGTGTCCTCTGGGCAGCTGGAAAGGAGGCTAAACATAGAAAAGCCTGTGGAGTGTGCCAAGACGGATCAGGCCTGGTGCTAGAACATTCCTTCACTCTGTCAATGAGCAACCACCTCGTACCTGTGTCTCAGGGACCGGGGACGTAGGAGTGAGCAAAGCACACTGGCTTCCTAGACCCCGAGACTTAGATGCTAAAGGAGGGGATGTGTGGGTCACTCTGGCCCAGCAGGAGGACAAGGAAGGAGAGTGAGAACCACAGAGGGCCCAGGAAGATCCCCAGGCCTGGTACAGGGCAAGGCGGGGAAGGTGGTATGCCTTTTCCAGGGTAGCCAGTTCCTTAGCGCCTCCTTTCAGGAACTCCTCTGCGCTATTGAGGGGCTAGAAGGTCTCTTCTTAATTAAAAATAATTTTATTTTAAAAATTAACATAAAGTAAAATTGATTTTTTTCAGTGGACAGTCCTATGAGTTTCACATGTGTAAAGATTCATGTAATCACCACAATCGATCATGTAATCACCACCACTGAAACAGAATAGCTCCACTGCCTAAAACACTCCCTCGGGCTACCCCTTTGTAGTCCCATCCTCTTTCCTGCCCCCGACAAACTCCCTGCTATTTTGCTATTTTGATCTAGTCTCTGTTGCTATCGTTTTATCTTTTCAAAAGTGTCACATAAATGGAATCATACAGTCTGTAACTTTTGAGAACTTTTTTCACTCAGCGTAATGCCTTTGAGATTCATCCAAGTCATTGCATGTGTCAGTAATTTGTTTCCTTTTTTCATTTTAAAAATGTATGCAGTTTGATGTTTTTCTCCTTTTCCTTTTCTTTTCTTTTTTTAAGCAAGGTTTCACTGTGTTGCCCAGGCTGGAGTAGTGGCATGATAATGGTTCACTGCAGCTTCAACCTCCTGGGCTCAAGTGATCCTTCTGCCTCAGCCTGAGCAGCTAGGATTACAGGCGTGCACCACTATGCCCAGATAATTTTTGTATTTTTTGCAGAGACAGGGTTTCACCATGTTGCCCAGACTGGTCTTGAACATCTGGGCTCAAGCAATCCTCCTGCCTCAGTCTCCTAAAGTGCTGGGATTACAGGAATGAGCCGGTGTACCTGGCCCCAATTAGTTTTTTTAAATTAAATTAATTAACTAATTGGCTATCAGCAGGAAACAAACCGATGAGCTTTTACATTTATATTTACCCATTTAACCACCATCTAGACAAGATAGCTTCAACCCAGGAGTCTCCCTTGTTTCCCTTGCAGTCAATATGTAGCACCCTCTTTCCTGCCCACCTCACTCCAAACTAACCACCATTCTGATTTTTTTTTTTTTTGAGACAGAGTCTTGCTCTTGTTGCCCAGGCTGGAGTGCAGTGGAATGACTTCAGCTCACTGCAACCTCCGCCTCCCAGGTTCAAGCGATTCTCTTGCCTCAGCCTCCCGAGTAGCTGAGATTACAGGCACCCACCACCACGCCCAGCTAATTTTTGTATTTTTAGTAGAGACGGGGTTTCACCATGTTGGCTAGGCTAGTCTCAAACTCCTGACCTCAAGTGATCTGCCCACCTCGGCCTCCCAGAGTGCTGGGATTACAGGTATGAGCTATTGTGCCCAGCCTGCACCCCTTCTCTTTTCCATGAGTCCATGGAAGTCTAAGAGTCAACCAAGAAGTAGGCTCCTGCCCTCACACCCTGTACTCTCATACCATCTGGCACCACAGGTATCTTTCCAGCTCTTCCAAAACGAGGCCTGCTTAGGGTGGGTTTCCTTTACAGCCCCACCCAGCCTGATTCTTTCTGTTCCTTCTAAAACATACACAAAAAGCCAAACACCTCAGGGGTCAGGAAATCCACAATTTCAAAGAAATGAAGTCCTGGTTGCCCAGAGGTGGGAGAGGAGAGGAACACTTTAGTTTCTTTTTAATTCTCAGTAGATTGTTGTTACATGACATTCATAATAAACTGTCCTGCTATGTAACATATTCTTTTAAATATGATTGTTCCTTCAAATGTGATACATGTTGGGAAAGTTGTAGGGAGATCAGTTAATAATCATTTATGGGAATGTTTCCTGAATGAAGGAGCCCAGGATGGGCACGGGATAGGAGATTTCAAGTAAGGAACAGATAGGACCCTTCTGAGAGATTTCAACCCAAATTAGACAACAAAATACATATACTCTCTGAGGACAGCTCAGGTCAATGGAAATGTATTGAGCATCTACCAGTAAAAGTTAATCTTGACTGCTTAGTAGGCACCAGGCACTGTGCTAGCCCTGGGGATACTGCAACCAACCAGACAGAGATCTTCCTGCCTTGTGGAGCTCAGAAGGACAGATATGAAACACACAGGACTGAGGTGGTGACTCTTACACAAGGTGGAGTTCAGGGTACCATAGGCATGTATAGCCAGAGGACCTAACACAGGATGCAGATCAGGGAAGGCCTCTCCTAGAAGCTAATGTTCAAACTGAGACTTGAAAATGATGAAAATATAAAAACATCAGAGCAGGGGGAGGGGGAACCTGAGCTACAAGAGATCTAGACAAGTCGGAGGAACCAAAAAAATTCCAAGATATAAAAGCGTACAGACAGAGAGGTGAGTTGGGTTTAGAAGAGGCTGGTAAGGTGGGCTCAACCAAAAAAGGCCCAGTGGACCCTACACTATGGAATGAATTGTGTCCCCCCAAATTCGTATGTTGAACCCCTAACTCTCAATGCGACTATATTTGGAGATAGGGTTTTTAGGTGATTCAGGTTAAATGAGGTCCTAAGGGTGAGGCCCTAATCTGATGGGACTGGTGTTCTTATAAAAGGAACAGGATGCACAAGAGAGCTCTCTCTCCCCACATGCACGAAGAGGCCATGTGAGTACAGAGCAAAATGGCGGCCACCTACAACGAAGTAAAGAGGACTCTGGGCCAGGTGCGGTGGCTCACACCTGTAATCCCAGCACTTTGGGAGGCTGAGGAGGGTGGATCACCTGAGATCAAGAGTTTGAGAACAGCCTGGCCAACATGGTGAAACCCCGTCTCTACTAAAAATCAAAAATTAGCCAGGCATGGTGGTGGGCGCCTGTAATCCCAGCTACTCAGGAAGCTGAGACAGGAGAATCACTTGAACCTGGGAGGCAGAGTTTGCAGTGAGCCGAGATCATGCCATTGCACTCTAGCCTGGGTGACAGAGCAAGACTCTCTCTGTCTCAAAAAAAAAAAAAAAAAGAGAAAGAAAGAGGCCAGGCGTGGTGGCTTACGCCTGTAATCCCAGCACTTTGGGAGGCCGAGGCAGGCAGATCACAAGGTCAAGAGATCGAGACCATCCTGGCCAACATGGTGAAACCCCGTCTCTATTAAAAGTATCAAATTAGCTGGGTGTGGTGGCGGGCACCTGCAGTCACAGCTACTCGGGAGGCTGAGGCAGGAGAATCACTTGAACCCGAGATCACGCCATTGCACTCCAGCCTGGGCAACAGAGCAGGATGCTGTCTCAAAAAAAATAAAAAAATAAAATAAAATAAAATAAAAGAAAGAAAGAAAAGAGGACTCTGAAAGTCTGAATAAAGCTGACCTTGCCAGCACTTTGGTCTTGGACTTCTCAGCTTCCAGAACTGTGAGAAATAAACTTCTGTTGTTTAAGCCACCCCGTCTAGGATATTTTGTTATGGCAGCCTGAGCTGACTAATACACCATATAAGAATTTTGAGTATATTTCTAAAAGCCTGGTGGGAAGCCACTGGAGTTCTAAGCCAGGGACAGACATGCGTACATCTGTGAGGCTCATTTTGGCGGCAGAGTGGAGAAGGCATCTGAGCAGGGCAAGACTAGAAGCAGAGAGATGAGGTAGGAGGTGAGGGTAGGTGCTCAGGCTGGAGATGATGTTGGAGGCTTAGAGCCTGGTGATGTGGGGATGAGGAAAAGTGGAGAGATTGGAGAGACCTTCATGGGGAAAATCAAAGGACTTGGGGATTAACAGAATAAGAGGAGAGGGGAGGGGGAGTCCAAAGGCCCCCAGGTACAGTGGAAAGAGCCCTGGGCTGGGAATCTAAAGATCCAAGTTCTATTCCCAGATCTGTCACCCAATGGCTTTGGCTAAGTGGCTTCACTACCCTTCACCACTTTAGTTTCCTCATCTGTACAGGAAGAGATGGGCCTGCTGATCTCATGGTGCCGTCCAATTCCATTATCCTGTGATTCTGTGAAGTAAATGCATTAACAAGATAAAACAATGGTGTCATCTCCCCAGGATTGTTCACGGACCTCTCCTCCACACTTTACCTAACACTATTGATCACCGTTTACTTAGCTGTACATTAGAAAGCTTCCATTACTGATCTGTCTCCCTCAAAAGACTGAGACCTCCTCGAGGGTAAGAACTGGGTCATTTTGCTTGGTATCCTGTACCTGAAACCAAGCCAGGCACATAGTAATTGATTAATTATATTTGTTAAATTGATTATTGTAAGTGCTGGGAAGACAGGCACATGGTTATTCCGGGAAGGCATCTGGGTATGATGTATGTTTTCTGAGTACAGGGCACTGTGATGGGTGCTAGGGCCATCAGAGTAAACAAGAAAACCAGTCACAGACCTTACGTCAGGTAGCTAGGCAGACATTAAACACAAGAGGACAAAAATGATGATTTATTTCTAGTTGTGGTGAGTGCTACAAGGAAAAGTACTGGGTATTGTGAGTGTGTAATAAAGAGACTAGCTTGGGGGTAGAGGGAAGGTTTCTCTGAAAGAATGACCCTTAAAATAATAAGGATGAGTAGATTTGCTCACAGATTGAAGGAGGGGAGAGACAGAGAGCATGACTGCAGGTAAAAGAAGCAATAAGCACACATGAAGGCCTGAAGCTGGACGGAGTTCTGGCGAGGAGAATGCCAGATGGAAATCCACCGGAATGTAATGTTAGCTAATTTGGGTTATGGAATTATTGGTGCTTTTTATTCTCTTTTGTGTATATTTTGCATATTACAGATTTCCCACAACAAACATGTACTATTTTAATCATGGGGGTTGGGGGGGGCATTGCTAGTTTTAACAAAATAATAAAGGATGTGGGGAGCATGGGTGTCTGGAGGAGGGGTGCATTCCAGAGGGATTGATGACACGAGCGGTGACTAAGTCCTGCATGGGGGAGGGCAGGAGGCCCATCAGTGGGGCTGGAACAAAGCAGCAAGGATGACTCACAAAAGACACAGCCGAAGCCAGTGCATCAGGGCCCGTGGAGGTGAGGCTGGGGAGTCGGAGGTGATATGAGAAGTCGCAGGGAGCTACTGTCAGACCAACTAGGCAGGGACAGCCTACACCTGAGTAGAGGAGAGGATGAGGAACCAGAGAGAAAAAGCTCCCCTCAGCAGTCCCTGTGGGGCTGGTACAGGACCTTGGGAACCTGGTAAGGGCAGAGTCCTCCTTGTTACTTTCCAGGCACGAAAGGGTTAGATTGTCCCGTGCTTTCTGCCCCCACAGCGGAAGTGGAAGCTGTGGTTTCCAAAGGCCCTTCCTGATCTGCAATCTCTGAGAAATCAACTAAAGAGATAAAGTCAAAGGTTGGTTGGTGGTGTGCAGTGGGCGCGGGGGTGGATCACAGGCAGGAGTTGGAAAATTGAGGCCTGATGCAAGCTCTAAGATCCGCCCCCACCCACTCCTGATCATGAGTGATAAGCACCCCACCACCCACTCTGCCACTTGGCCGGGATTTCCCCGGAGCCTGTGAAGTATTCCCAGGGCTGGGATGTGACTTGGGAGGAGGTGGTAATTGGCTCCTTTCTCCGCTCTGAGCTGGGCCTCCAGGAACTGCCTCCACCACGTCCCCCTTCCCCTCCAGGGGAGTTACTCAGCACAGTCTGACTGCTCCACCTGAACCCTCCTTAGCATCACCCACTCACCTCACACTCCTGACCCAGGTGCTGCCTGCTCATAGCCAGGGCACAGAGATGAGGAGCAACTTCATCCCAGTCTTCTACCCAGCCCCAAAGCTGAATTCCGCAACAGGACCTGGTCCTGACCCTGCTCCCATGAAGAGATGCAAAATCACACTAAATCTTCATGTTAAATCATCATATGTATCAAATGCCAACCAGTCAGTAAGCAGCCGAGGGCACGCTGTCCACAGCCCTACAGCTAGGCCTGTGCTGCTACCAGGGTGCAGAGGCAGGGGCCTTGAAGAAACAGCCCCAGCCCCTAGGAATGCTATTTGCTGTTGGAGACAACAAGTTCTTAATAAAAGCCACATCAACCCAGAAGACCTGAGTCATCTGAGAGAGACCATTTGCGCCTCTAAGCCTCAGTTTCTTCAATTGTGAAATGGTAATGACAGCTAGTTTAGAATTAAATGATGCCGTGTATGAAAAATAGATGAGAGACTTAGAAGGATCCCGTCCTTCCACAGATACTTATTCCTGGGCCAATGCTCAGGATATAAAGATAAAGTAAACAAACGTAACAGGCCTGATCCCTGCCCTCAAGAGGTTCCTCAAGTTGCTGTTATTGTTGACCCAATGACAGCTAAATAAATGAAGGCCACTCATAAAAAGCAAATGGAGGCTCCGATAGAGTGTGGCCGATGGTATTTTCCAAAGTTGGGTGCCCCTTTCCACTTGCTCTCCTTGTCCCATGACTGACACTCCAGGTAGGGGCCATGTTCCCTCTCTTTGAATGGGAGCGGGGCTGTGACTACTCTGACCAATAGGGTAGGAGGGAGGTGATGCAGATCAAAAAAAGATGAGGTTATAAAAAGAATGCAGCTGGGCACAGTGGCTCACACCTGTAATCCCAATACTTTAGGAGGCTGAGATGGACAGATTGCTTGAGCC
Source organism: Homo sapiens (assembly GCF_000001405.40). NCBI lineage: Eukaryota > Metazoa > Chordata > Mammalia > Primates > Hominidae > Homo > Homo sapiens. Next base: position 2,078,351 of record NT_167246.2, on the reverse strand, counting down.
CAGGAGTTGGAGACCAGCCTGGGCAACATAGTGAGACCCTGTCTCTACAAAATAATGATAATAATAATACAAAAATCAGCCAGGCATGTTGGCAGTAGCCCCAGCTACCAGGGAGACTGAGGCAGGAGGATCACTTAAGCCTGGGTAGTCAAGGCTGCAGTGAACCATGACTGCACCACTGCACTCCAGCCTGGGCAACAAGAGTGAAACTCCGCCTCAAAAAAAAAAAAAGCAGTTCATGCCTGGTTCCCTCACAGCAACCCAGCCACTATGCAAGAGAAACTCTAACTAGACCACAGGTAGAAACCCTGAGGTCCCTGAGCTAACTGCCAGCATCCACTGCAAAGTGTCTGCAGACGATTTCAGTCCCCCAGCTTTCGAGTCTTCCAGCTGCAGCCCCAGATAACATGGAGCAGAGACAAGCCATCCCCACTGCGGTGTGTCCAAATTCCTGGCCCACAGAATCCGTGAACGTAATAAAGGGTTGTCTCATGCCACAAAATTTTGAGGCAATTTGTTGGACAACAAAAAATAACCAGAACACAGAGGACAAGCCAGAATGAGCAGCACATAAGTCGAAGGAGAAAGTACCCTAGAGGTGTTAAGAGTTAGTCAGAATGGAAGGACATTAACTGTGGAAAGCATTACTAGACCTCACGTCACCATATGGTTTTGTACTCTGTCCTGCTGTGAAACTCTTCCTTCAAAGGCCACCAGCAACCCCCAAAGTGACAAATATACAAATTCCCTCTTGTTTAAACTATCATCTAGGCCTGCGCCATGGCTCACACCTATAATCCCAAAACTTTGGGAGGCTGAGGCAGCAGGATCATTTGAGCCCAGGAATTTGAGACCAGCCTGGGCAACACAGTGAGACCCCCAGTCTCTAAAAAAATGTTTAAAAAATTGGCTGGGAGTGGTGACATACACCTGTAGTATCAGCTACTCAAGAAGCTGAGGTGAGACGATCTCTTGAGCCTGGGAGGTCAAGGCTGCAGAGAGCTATGATCATGCCACTATACTCCAGCCAGGGTTACAGAGCAAGACCCTCTCTCCAAACAAACAAACAAACAAACAAACAAAAAAACCCTCACAAACAAACAAACAAAAAACCCTATCATCTGTGCGCCGAAGTCCCCCACTCCAATAGCTACATACCTAGTCCTATCTTTTCACCTGAACTCCTGTCTTGTAGCTCCAATTTCCCGCAGTCACATGCCAGTTCCTTATTTCTTTGCCACCTCAAATCCAACACAACCAAAATGGATTCACTATCATGGACACTGTTTGGGCTCAGGTCCTTTTCACCAGTGAGTCCACTCACTTTCCAGCTTTTGGGAATATCAGCTGATAACCACACACAATTGTCCCCTTTTCTGGAGAATTGCCCTGGGCCAAACAGGAGCCAAGCCCTCCTCCCTTGCACACACTCTGGACAGACTCCCAGTGGCTGCCTGACCTTAAAGCAGATCTACAAAACGCCAGCCCCCATGCCTCCAAGTGCAATTGACTGGTGCAATTTGCTGCCCTGAGCTTCCCCATGAGCTCAGGCTGAAGCTCACATCCTTGCTTAGCCTTTTTCCCTTCCCTATCCTGTTTTCTTCAGTCTTTCTCCTGAGAGCCTCCCGCAGTGTATCTCTTGAACAAAAGTCCCCACCCCAGGTTCTGCTTCAAGGTAGCCCAATCTAAAACACCTGCTGCCGAGTGCAGTGGCTCACACCTGCAATCCCAGCACTTTGGGAGGCCAAGGTGGGCAGATTGCTTTGAGCTCATGAGTTCAAGACCAGCCTGGAGACAGGCTGGACACAGCAAAATCTTGCCTCTTCAAAAGATACAAAAAAAAAATTAGCCTAGCTTTGTGGCATGCGCCTGTAGTCCCAGCTACTTGGGAGGCTGAGACAGGAGGATCGATCGCTTGAGCCCAGGAGGCAGAGGTTGCAGAAAGCTGAGATTGCACCACTGCACTTCAGCCTGAGTGACAGAGGAAGACCCTGTCTCGAAATAAAATAATAATAATAATAGGCCGGGTGCCGTGGCTCATGCCTGTAATTCCAGCACTTTGGGAGGCCAAGGTGGGCGGATCACTTGAGGTCAGGAGTTGGAGATCAGCCTGGCCAACATGGTGAAACCCCGTCTCTAGTAAAAATAAAGAAATTAGCTGGCCATGGTGGCACATACCTGTTACCCCAGCTACTCGGGAGGCTGAGGCAGGAGAATCACTTGAATCTGGGAGGCAGAGGTTGCAGTGAGCTGAGATTGCACCATTGCACTCCAGTCTGGGCAACAAGAGCAAAACTCCATCTCAAAAAAATAATAATAATAAATAAAACACCAACCAAGCCAAGTTTACTTTGTTTACCCTGTTGCTATGAGACCTGTCTCTCATCACCCCAGCCTACAACTCCCTTTCAGACCAGCCATCAGTTTGAATACATTTTCTAGCAAATGCCTCTCATTCTTCCTCCTCATTCCCATTGTCCCCATGTAATCACTGTTCAGGAAGTCAGGGACCCCAAACGGAGGGACCAGCTGAAGCCATGGCAGAAGAATGTGGATTGTGAAGATTTCATGGACATTTATTAGTTCCCCAAATTAATACTTTTATAATTTCTTATGCCTGTCTTTACTGCAATCTCTAAACATAAATTGTGAAGATTTCATGGACACTTATCACTTCCCCAGTCAATACCCTTGTGATTTCCTATGACTGTCTTTACTTTAATCTCTTAATCCTGTCATCTCGTAAGCCAAGGAGGATGTATGTCGCCTCAGGACCCTGTGATAATTGCATTAACTGCACAAATTGTAGAGCATATGTGTTTGAACAATATGAAATCTGGGCACCTTGAAAAAAGAGCAGGATAACAGCAATGTTTAGGGAACAAGAGAGATAACCTTAAACTCTGACCGCCGGTGAGCTGGGCGGAACAGAGCCATATTTCTCTTCTTTCAAAAGCAAATGGGAGAAATATTGCTGAATTCTTTTTCTCAGCAAGGAACATCCCTGGGAAAGAGAATACACGCCTGGGGGTGGGTCTCTGAACTGGCCCCCCTGGGCGTGGCCATCTTCTATGGTCGAGGCTGTAGGGGTGAAATAGACCCCAGTGTCCCATAGCGCTCCCAGGCTTATTAGGAAGAGGAAATTCCTGCCTAATAAATTTTGGTCAGACCAGTTTCTCTCAAAACCCTGTCTCCTGATAAAATGTTATCAATGACAATTGTGCCAGAAACTTCATTAGCAATTTTAATCTCGCCCCGGTCCTGTGGTCCTGTGATCCCGCCCTGCCTCCATTTGCCTTTCGATATTCTATTACCTTGTGAAGTACTTGATGTCTGTGACCCACACCTATTCACACACTCCCTCCCCTTTTGAAAATCCCTAATAAAAACTTGCTGGTTTTGCGGCTTGCGGGGCATCACGGAACCTACCAACATGTGATGTCTCCCCCGGATGCCCAGCTTTAAAATTTCTCTCTTTTGTACTCTGTCCCTTTATTTCTCAAACTGGCCGATGCTTAGGAAAATAGAAAAGAACCTACGTGACTAATGGGGCAGGTTCCCCGATAATCACCTCACACCTGGCTTATGAAATAATTCTCCTTTCCAACCTCCCTGCTGCTTCCTGTTTTTCCTCCTGCCTCCAATCTGTCTAGCACTTAAGTGTGAGATTAACATTTCTGAAATGCCTCTGATCATGTAGCTCCCCTGCTGGAAAGTTCAGTGCCTCCGGTGTCTAGTGGCAGCAGATAAAGATTCTTTTGTCTGCTTTCCTGGTCCCTCACTGAGCTCTGGCTTCCACCTTGTTTATTTAACCTCATTTGTCAGTATTTTTAATTTTCTATTCCAGTCAGCTCCCCCAGAGTTCCACAAACTATGCTCATTCCCATCACACCAACACCAGTTCTCCCTCTCCCCTACATGTTCTCGAATCCCACCTGGCTTCTCAGCTGCCCCCCGGCCCCTGTCCTCCCCTTCTCAGCCCCCAGCAGGGCACATGGCTGCCTGCAGGAAGCAACAGGGCTCTAAGCCTCCCTGGCAGCCAGATGTGGCAGAGAGACTTCCTTCCAACCTATTTGAAATGAGCAGAAATGTTACGGGTTACTTCTGTCTGTGGACCTACTAGGATGGGGTGTGTATTTCTTTGTCCTTCTCTTTCCCCTTGGCCTGAACATGGAGCCTGAGCAGTCATCCTAAATCACAAAGAGCCATGCATCAAAGACAGTGAGGCAGCAAGGCGGAGCTGTCCCAGCCCCGAGCTGCCTGCCTGGCTCTGGACTTTGTTTCTGTCAGAGAGAAATGGACTTCCATCTAGGAAGCCATTGTTCTATTCGGTTTTTGTCACTCACAGGTCAACCTAATGCTAACTTGGTTCTTCTCACAACTTGTGAAGGAAAGAAAGGAGCAGATGTGGCAGTGGCCTGTAAATGTTTAACTCTCAGAGGCAGTGGAGGGCTGGGGGTAGGTGAAAGTTCTGACTTGCAACATTTCCGATTTCTGTGGTGTAAATACTTCCATCAAGGTGTTGGGGCTCAGAAAATGATACCCCAGAGTTTGGTGTTTTGGCAAGTTGAGAAGAACATGGGAAGGACCTGAGAAGTAAAGTCTGCCTCTGACCTTCTCCTGCTCCCCTCTCTCCTCCAAGGCAGGTCAAAGAAACCAGAATGTCTTTCCCCCAAAGCCAATCATAAAACTTAGAACTATTACTCTAGCCTTCCTTTGCCTTTCTGTATAAGCACAGCTCATTAAAAAAAAAAAAAAAAACTGAGCTACCTTTTCTAATAGTAGGTCATAAAACCCTTATTTTGGAGAGTCCCTGCCTATATCCAGAAGGAAGGAATGCTGCACAGAGAGACCAAGCAGAATCCCAACAGACAGGCTCTGCTGGCTTTCTCCCTCAGCCTATTCCCATGCGACCATTCACTTTGTGTTCAATCACATTTCTTTTCTTTTCTTTTTTTTTTTTTTGAGATGGAGTTTCGCTCTTGTTGCCCAGGCTGGAGTGCAATGGCACTATCTTGGCTCACTGCAACCTCCTCCTCCTGGGTTCAAGCGATTCTCCTGCCTCAGCCTCCCAAGTAGCTGGGATTACAGGCACGCACCACCATGCCCAGCTAATTTTGTATTTTTAGTAGAGATGGGGTTTCTCCATGTTGGTCAGGCTGGTCTTGAACTCCCGACCTCAGGTGATCCGCCCGCCTTGGCCTCCCTAAGTGCTAGGATTACAGGCATAAGCCACCGTGCCCAGCCTGTGTTCAGTCACATTTCTACATGACTGTCTGTTCTTTTTTTTTTTTTTTTCTGAGACAGAGTTTCATTCTGTGGCCTAGGCTGGAGTGCAGTGGCACGATCTCAACTCACTGCAACTTCTGTCTCCCAGGTTCAAGTGATTCTCCTGCCTCAGCCTCCTGAGTAGCTGGGATTACAGGCACACACCACCACGCCCGGCTAATTTTTGTATTTTTAGTACAGACGGGGTTTCATTATATTGGCCAGGCTGGTCTCAAACTCCTGGCCTCATGTGATCCTCCCACCTCAGCCTCCCAAAGTACTGGGATTACAGGTGTGAGCCACTGCACCCAGCCTTGGCTGTCCATTCTTCATCGAAACTAATCAAAAAAATTGTTTTCTCTGAGCATTTCTGGGGTCTTCATTTCTGAAGGCTCCCATGTCATGTAAAACTTTGATGAAATAAATTTGTTGGTCGGGCACAGGGGCTCACACCTGTAATCCCAGCACTTTGGGAAGATGAGACAAGCAGATGGTTTGAGCCCAGGAGTTCGAGGCCAGCCTGAGTAACATGGTGAAACCCCATCTCTACAAAAAATTACCTGTGTGTGGTGGTCTGCACCTGTAGTTCCAGCTACTCTGTAGGCTGAGTCAGGAGGATTGCTTGAGCCCAGGAGGTTAAGGCTATGGTGAGCCATGATCATGCCACTTCACTACAGCCTGGGCAAGAGTGAAACTCCGTTTCAAAAAAATAGATACATAAAATAAAATAAATTTGTTATGCTTTTGTTTTGTTCGCCTGTCTTTTGTTATGGGAGTATTGGTCATGACTCAGGATGGGTGCAGAAAGCAATCACATCTTTCTGTCTCTACAAAGGCCAACTTCAAGCTACCAATGTTATGCCAGTTGGCTCATAAAGTTCCTGAAACTATAATGATTCTTCTCATGAACTGGTGTGAGCTGGCTTCAGCACAACAGTGGGTGAATGGGAAGGGGTGAAATGGGACTGACATTTAATGAACCTTGCTACATGCCAAGTAAGGTAATAGGCATTTTGCATATATTTTCTTTAATCCTTATATTTAACACTGAGGGGTAAGTAGGGCCAAACTTTCCCAACCATTAATCCTTTCTGGGAAAAATTCCAATACAGGTAGATTTATTTTTCTATATATTTTTCACAACCTTGGAAGATATGTTAGTCACCCCTGTTGTGGATAATTAGAAAAAGTAGAAAATGGAGGTAAGAGAAAATGCGAATGTGGTGGATATTTTCTGAGGTTTGACCATCCTGCATGCATTCTCTTCTCCTGAGAACAGTCACTGGATTCCTTGGAGAATTACCTGTGTGCATTCCTAATGAGCTATGGTTAAGGTGTGCTTTTTCCCCTAGCCTTTACCTAGACTAGGCTGATCAGATTCTCTCTGCTAGGGCTTTGAATGATGAACAAAATGGAAAGGATGGAAAAAACCCTTTGTCACTTACTCATTTCAGCAGGTAGCCAGGACAACACCGTCGATTCCTGCTACCTCATCCGCTGGAGCTACCCTGGTTCTTTGTCTCCTGAGCCTGATTCTCTGGCCTTCCTTTGATTCTGTGAGCTATTCAATATCCTCCCAAGACTCATCTATTCTGTTCAAGTTAAGGACAATCATTTTTGTGGCTTGAAGCCAAAGAAATTCAAATGCCAAGGAAGAAAAGTAGAAGCTCTTTAGAAAAGTTAAAGGAAACCGGCCAGGCGCGGTTGCTCACACCTGTAATCCCAGCACTTTGGGAGGCCAAGGTGGGCGGATCACCCGAGGTCGGGAGTTCAAGACCAGCCTAACCAACATGGAGAAACCCCATCTCTAATAAAAATACAGAATTAGCCGGGCATGGTGGCACACACTGTAATCCCAGCTACTTGGGAGGCTGAGGCAGGAGAATCGCTTGAACCTGGGAGGCGGAGGTTGCGGTGAGCCGAAATCAAGCCATTGCACTCCAGCCTGGGCAACAAGAGCGAAACTCCCTCTCAAAAAAAAAAAGAGAAAAGAAAAGTTAAAGGAAGCCAAGGCGAAGTGCACAGGGCTTTAGAAGAACATTTTAAAATTGCTCCTGGCAGGGAAGTGGTTATGATTATGTAAGGAGAACCTAGGCAAGACTGGTCAGACTGCAGGGTTGGATTTTTATGTGTTCTACACGGCAGGAATTTGGGGCAGAGCCGATGTTATATAAGCCTGAGTTGTAAGTTATTTGACGTATGTCATTGTATGCTCATCACAGGATTATTAAATAAAGGTAACTCAAACCATTTTGTATTAAGAGTATCCAAATTATTCTACATTTGTAGAATCACTATAAAATATGTGGGAGTTTGTTTTTTTAAAATGCGTTATTTTGGTGGAGGACTGGAGAGAAAACATGGATCACTAAGAACTCTTCATCAACATTTTATCTTTTAGAAAGTAAAATGAACTACTAGCAGTGGGCCCAGCGCAGTGGCTCCCGCCTGTAATCCCAGCACTTTGGGAAGCCGAGGAGGATTACTTGAGCCCAGGAGTTTGAGACCGGCCTGAACAACATAGCGAGGCCCTGTGTCTACAAATAGTCAAAAAATTAGCCAGATGTGGTGGCACACACCCATGGTCCCAACAAATCAGGAGGCTGAGGAGGGAGAACTGCTTGAGCTCTGGCAGTTGAGGCTGCACTGAGCCATGACTGCACCACTGCACTGAGCCATGATCACACGACTACACTGAGCCATGATCACACCACTGCACTGAGCCATGATCACACCACTGCACTGAGCCATGATCGCACCACTGCACTGAAACATGATCGCACAACTGCACTGAGACATAATTGCACCACTGCACTGAGCCATGATCGCACCACTGCACTGAGCCATGATCGCACCACTGCACTGAGCCATAATCGCACCACTGCACTGAGACATGATCGCACCACTGCACTGAGCCATGATAGTACCACTGCACCGAGCCATGATTACACCATGGCACTGCACTCCAGCCTGGGCCACAGAGTGAGACCATGTCTTAAAAAAAAAAAGCAAACAAAAACTACAAGCAATTGAGAGCCTGGGAAGTGTCTAGTAGGGAAACCAGGAATTGTATCTGTGTTTGTGTGACTACCCCACATTCCTGCTGGTTCTGCCTCAACAAAAGCTTTCCCCCATCACTCCATCCACAGTGATCTCACCCGGCTGCGAATGCCTAGAATGCTTGCTCTCTGTACCAACATTCCATTTGTTTGACATTCATCATGGGGATCTGCTGAGTCTTCATATGAGGAAAAGTACTTGTTAAGCTCTAAGATATCAAATAAATGTTAGTTAATTATGTTATTAGATAAGTAGGTAGATAGATAATAAATAGATGCACACACACATATAGCTACAGATACAGTTACAGTTTTGTATACTTATATTTATGTGCTGATCTCTTAATTTCCCTTAACTTGGTTATAAACCTCTTAAGACCCATATTTTATACACCTTTCTGCCTTCCACTGCTCTTAGTTGGAACACATTTGACAATCTACTGATGTTTTAAGTGTAGGAACTAGCCTCTACCAGCTGAAAAATCTGTGAACCATGGCCACTTATTTTCACCACTTTCCTGTGCCCTGGGAGGACTAGATGAGCTCATGGGTACAAAGTGCCATGAATCAGTTAGTTTCCTGTGGCCGAAGACAGAAGAACTCAGCAGTCTTAGTTCCCCCTTCAACTTCATGCCTTCCTTTCTGAAGAAGCATGGGTCATGTATGTGATCAGAAATGGGCTTCCATTTCTCAGTACAAGATTTCTGAAGAAGAAGTGGTTTCTGGACCTCTGAATGGGCAGTGTGCGATACAATCTAATGAGAGACAAGTGATCTTGACTCTTTTAAAAGTGTCAAAAGCAGATTAAAGCCATCAGCCTATACCAAGCATTTTCCCAATGCAGCATTTTCTCTTCCCCCACCCTATCTGTCATCTAGCCTAGTGCTGTCCAACAAATCTTTCTGTAATGATGGAAATGTTCTATTTCCGTGTTTTCAAATATGGTAATCACTGGCCACATGGGATTATCGTGCTCTTGAAATGTGGCTAATGAAACTGAGAAACTGAATTTTAAATTTTGACTCATTAGAATTTACATTCAAATAGCCACATGCAGCTGGGCGCAGTGGCTCACGCCTGTAATCCTAGCACTTTGGGAGGCCAAGGTGGGCAGATGACCTGATGTCAGGAGTTCGAGACCAGCCCGGCCAACATGGTGAAACCCCGTCTCCATTAAAAATACAAAAATGCTGGGCGCGGTGGCTCACGCCTGTAATCCCAGCACTTTGGGAGGCCAAGGCGGGCGGATCACGAGGTCAGGAGATCGAGACCATCCTGGCTAACAAGGAGAAACCCCGTCTCTACTAAAAATACAAAAAATTAGCTGAGTGTGGTGGCGGGAGCCTGTAGTCCCAGCTACTCAGGAGGCTGAGGCAGGAGAATGGTGTGAACCCGGGAGGCAGAGCCTGCAGTGAGCTGAGATCACGCCACTACACTCCAGCCTGGGTGACAGAGTGAGACTTTGACTCAAAATAAATAAATAAATAAATAATAAAAATACAAAAATTAGCTGGGCATAGTGGCACAAGCCTGTAATCCCAGCAACCTAGGAGGCTGAGGCAGGAGAACTGCTTGAACCTGGGAGGCAGAGGTTGCAGTGAGCCAAGATCATGCCACTACATTCCAGCCTGGGCGACAGAGTGAGACTCCATCTCAAAAAATAAAATAAAATAAATAGCCACATGCTACTGTATTAGACAGCATAGACCTAAATTAAGAGAATCTGGGCTTCTTTATTTATTCATTTATTTATTCATCATTCAGTCAAAACCATTGAGTACCTAGTATATATCAATCAGGCACACTGCTGAATACTGACAGTGGGTTCAGTGATTAGTCTCTCACCTGAAAAAGCCCAAAATCTGTTTGAGGAAACAAATGATCTTTGGGGATGGCCTCAAGACCTTAAAGTGTCTTCTGGTTACACCACCTTCTCTTGAGAAAAGTATTTGGGAGTAAGTCCTTGGGCATAGGTCACCCTGCAGATAATCTTCCGGCCCTGACCTCATCTACTAAATTAGGATCCTTGCTTGAGCTAGGGGCAGTTCTCAAGGGCTGGCAAGAGGCCAGTGATGCAGCCAGAGGTGAGAATACCCAAAAAGGTTACTGTATCCTGGGGAGTGTGTACACAACCCATTCAGAGTCTCAATTTAAGACATAAGCAAGGACATGAACATCAGAGCAGTGTAAAACCCCAAAGACAAAAAGAGCTAGGTCAGTGGGTTGAATAATAACATTAATAATGAGGATTGTTGAGAGGCAGGAAGGTGTTGAGGTCAATAGCTTTGTCTCTGGAGACAAACTTCCTGGATGCCAAACTCAACTCTGTCATTCCCCTGCTTCACAGAGTTCTGTGCTGTCACTGCACCTGTATAATGAGTGTTGTCATGCCCTCCTCTCAGAGGTGTACCATGAAAATTAAGTGAATTAAAACATACAGTTGTCCAGGCATGGTGTTTCATACCTGTAATCCCACCATTTTGGGAGGCTGAGGCAGGAAGATCATTTGAAGCCAAGAGTTTGAGACCAGCCTGGGCAACAAAGTGAGACCCTATCTCTACCAAAAAAAAAAAAAAATTTTTTTTAATTAGTTGGGCATGGTGGCACACGCCTGTAGTCCTAGAAACTCAGGAAGCTGAAGTGGCAGGATTGCTTGAGCCCAGGAGTTTGGGGCTATAGTGAGCTATGATGGCGCCACTGCACTACAGCCTGAGCTGTAGTGGAAGATCTTGACTCTAAAAACAAACAAGCCAGGCATGGTGGCTCATGCCTGTAATCCCAGCACTTTGGGAGGCCGAGGCAGGCAGATCACGAGGTCAGGAGTTCAAGACCAGTCTGGCCAACATAGTGAAACCCCATCTGTACTAAAAAAACAAAAATTAGCCAGGTATGGTGGCACATGCCTGTAATCCCAGCTAATCAGGAGGCTGAGGCAGGAGAATTGCTTGAACCTGGGAGGCAAAGGTTGCAGTGAGCCAAGACCATGCCATTGCACTCCAGCCTGGGCAACATAGTGAGACTCCATCTCAAAATCAAAAACAAAAAACAAACAAACAAACATGGAGTTGAACCCAGGTAGATGGGCTCTAGCATCTATGCTCTGACAAATAGGTATGCCACTAGGCTTTGGAATGAAATAGACCTAGGTTCACATCTAACTCCCATTACTTCTTGGTTACACAACCTTAAGAAAGTGAATTGCCTCATTGAACCTCATTTTTCTCATCTGTAAAATGGGTGTATAGATAAAATAACAGTTGGGGTTATGAAGGCTTAATGAATTGATTTGAGTATAGCTCTTAAAACAGTGCCTATGCCGGGCGTGGTGGCTCACGCCTGTAATCCTAGCACTTTGGGAGGCCGAGGTGGGCAGATCACGAGATCAGGAGATCGAGACCATCTTGGCTAACACGGGGAAACCCCATCTCTACTAAAAATACGAAAAATTAGCCAGGAGTGGTGGTGAGCGCCTGTAGTCCCAGCTACTCGGGAGACTGAGGGAGAGAATGGCATGAACCCGGGAGTTGGAGCTTGCAGTGAGCCAAGATCGCGCCACTGCACTCCAGCCTGGGCTACAGACAGAGCAAGACTCCATCTCAAACAAACAAACAAACAAAAAAAAACACACAGTGCCTCTGAGGCATCATACATGCTCAGGTGTGTGGGCTAGTGTCACTTCACACTACCCCACAAGACCTGGGCAGAGCCAGTCACTGCAGACAGAGATGCTGAGCCACAAGGAGTCTGGGCAGGGAGGCAGGGTGTGCTCCTGGGGCTGCCGCTGGGCACTGGAAGCCACTGTGGCTTCTGGAAGACATGCTGGTTCTTCAAGGGGCAGGTTACTGGCCACTGAGGTGGCTCTATTCCAGCCCATCTCTGTCCCTTGAGGTAATCTGAGTGGCAACCTGTTCTATAACAAAAAAAACACTTAGTTTTGGCATATTTTAAGCAAGAATTTACAAGAGGAACATTTTGATGCAGCTTCCTTAAAACAGTTCTGTCAGTATGAACCACTTTGGAAAATAGCATAGCAAATTCTTTTTTTTCTTTTTTTTTTTTTTGAGACGGAGTCTCGCCAGGCTGGAGTGCAGTGGTGCAATCTTGGCTCACTGTGCAATCTCCGACTCCCTGGTTCAAGCGATTCTCCTGGCTCAGCCTCCTGAGTAGCTGGGATTACAGGCACGCACCACCACGCTCAGCTAATTTTTGAATTTTTAGTAGAAACGGGGTTTCACCATGTTAGCCAGGCTGGTCTCGATCTTCTGACCTCATGAACTGCCCGCCTCAGCTTCCCAAAGTGCTGGGATTACAGGCATGAGCCACCGAGCCCAGCCCTTATTTTTTCTTTTTTTAGAATGGGGTCTCGCTCTGTCTCCCAGGCTGGAGTGCAGTGGTGTGAATGTGACTTACCACAGCCTCGACCCCTGGATTCAAGTGATCCTTCGACCTGAGCCTCCCAGAGTAGCTGGGACCACAGGCGCGCACCACAACACCTGGCTAATTTTTTAATTTTGTAGAGACGAGGTCTCTCCATGCTGCCCAGGCTGATCTCAAACTCCTGGGCTCAAGAAATCCTTCTGCCTTTAGGCTGGGCATGGTGGCACACACCTGTAATCCCAGCACTTTGGGAGACCAAGGTGGGCTGATCACTTGAGGTCAGGAGTTTGAGACCAGCCTGATCAACATGGTGAAACCTGTCTCTACTAAAAATACAAAAATTAGCTGGGCGTCGTGGTGCAAGTGCTGGGATCACAGGTGTGAGCCACTGGGCACAGCAGCGATTTCTTACTAAGCTAAACATGCACCTAGTTATACTACTCCTAGACATCTGCTCAAGAGAAATAAGAATACATGTCTTAAAAAAGAGTTGTCTATGAATGTTCATAGTAGCTTTATTCATCATTTCCAAAAATAAGAAAAAAACCACAATGTCCATCAATGGTGAATTAATAAGCCAACTGTCATATATTTATACAATGGAATGCTATGCAGAAGTCAAAAGGAAAGAACTACTGAATCATGCCATGACATGGATGAATCACAAAAATATTATACTGAGCAAAAGAATCTGGACACAAAAGAGTGTCTACTGTAGTTTCGTTCTTTCTTTCTTTCTTTTTTTTTTTGAGACGGAGTTTTGCTCTTGTTGCCCAGGCTGAAGTGAAATGGCGTGATCTCAGCTCACTGCAACCTCTGCCTCCTGGGGTCAAGTGATTCTCCTGCCTCAACCTCCCAAGTAGCTGGGATTATAGCCACCTGCCACCACACCTGGCTAATTTTTAGTAGAGACGGGGTTTCACCATGTTGGTCAGGCTGGTCTTGAACTCCTGACCTCAGATGATCCTCCCGCCTCGGCCTCCCAAAGTGCTGGGATTACAGGCATGAGCCACCTTGCCCAGCCTGTAGTTTCATCTATATGACATTCTAGAACAGGCAAAACTGTAAGGTTAGAAGTCTGATCAGTGGTTGCTATAGGGGATGGGGACAGGACTGACTACAAAGGGATGCAGGGAACTTTTGGGGGTGATGGAAAACTCTATATCATCATGGTGGAGGCCTTTACACAAACTATATGCATTTATCAAAACTCATCAAAAACTACTCCTAAGAAGGATGAATTTTACTGTATTTAAATTATACTTCAATCTACCTGACTTTTTAAAACAAAATGCAGTATCACCAAATACTACCAAATTTTATGTGAAAGGCTCAGGGTCAGAGATAGGATGAGTTCAACCCACAGGGATAGGTTGAGAATATCTGGTTTATACATTTCTTACTGATTTTTTTTTTTTTTGAGAAGTCTTGCTCTTGTCCCCCAGGCTGGAGTGCGATAGCGTGATCTCGGCTCACTGCAACCTCTGCCTCCCGGGTTCAAGCGATTCTCCTGCCTTAGCCTTCCAAGTAGCTGGGATTACAGGCGCCTGCCACCACGCCAGGCTAATTTTTGTATTTTTAGTAGAGACGGGGTTTCACCATGTTGGCCAGGCTGGTCTCGAACTCCTGACCTCAGGTGATTTGCCCACCTCGGCCTCCCAAAGTGCTGGGATTACAGGAATGAGACACCGTGCCTGGCCACTGATTTTTTTTTTAATGGTGACAATTTAATAATAATTTTAGGCCTTGTCAAGAGGTTACCAGTATTAAGACGGCTGCATCTCAATGGCACGTGCCTCTCCTGGCAATCAAAAAGATAGACAAATGACTATAATATCGTGTGTGTGATGCTTTGAGAGATTTGTATACAATGTAGATGAACTAATTCTGGATGGCAGGTTCAGGAGTGGTTTTTTCCCAGGAGAATAGGGAGGAAAAAGGAAAAGAAATAGAACGGTTATAGGGTCCAATGGGTAAGAGTTTGGCATGTGTGAGAAAAAGGACAAAATTAGAGATGCACAACATCAAGAAGCAATGGGGGTGTTGAAAGAGAAAGCCTGCAAGGTGCCTGGATTTGGGTTGGGAACTCAGAGAGTTTGGAGCCACTGAACTTACTGAAGCAGGCATGGACATGGTCAAGTCTGTCTTTGAACAAGAAAGCCCTGGGGGGTATAGGAGGTGAACCGGAGGAACAATAGTTAGGAAGGTTCTTTATGGCCCATGATTGTCCCATTTTCACTAAAATAAAATGTGCCTTTTTGGTAGTGAACTGTTCTGAATGCCAAAAGTACTAGGTAAGTTGGTCCCAACTGGAATATTGCAGCCCTGAGGGTGGCTCGGCTGCCCAGTCATTTGGTACCCCCTTTTTCTTTCCTGAACCAGAGAATCTCAGCTCTCAAGAAATCTATTAATTCAGGCTCCCAGGGTCAGCACCACTTGGTCTGTGTCAGAGACACAGCAGTCACACGCACAAACCCAAATGGTCATGGCTGACAGTGGAGGCCTCAGCAGGGCCAAGGAACACAGAGATTTGCAACCTCCCCTTGTGTGCAATTCCCCTTCTATGGTAGGTGGGATTCCCAACCTGGGGAAAGAAATGACCAAGTGTCTGGGAAGGGAAAGTGTCATAAAAGAGCCAGGGCCCAGGAGCTAGGATGACGGTGGCCTGAGGCCCAGACACTCTAGGGAATCCGTGAGACGTGGAGAGAAAACATGAGGGAAAGCAGAGCTACTGTCTGGCCGGCCCAGCTTCCTCTTTTATGAGCTCATGGGCAAAGCCAGGCCAGGCAGAGGGTGCTAGAGATTGAGTGAGCTTGTTTTTTCCCTAACTTGGTTCTGAGTCACACATGGCATCTATCCTTCCCAGAAAACCGCCTCAGGGCTCACCCCTTGGCAGCCCACCAAACCCCAGTACTGACACGCGATCCCCACTGGGTAGGGCCAGGGAGCTGCAGACAGGCCAGCCCCAGCACCCGCCTCCGCCCCTGGAGAGGCCTCTTGGGGAATGAACTGTCCCTCCCAACCTTGGAAGAAAAGAGCCTATGGCAACTGCTTTGGAGGGTAGGCTGGAGGCACGTCCAACTTTTGAGCACACATGGGAGACGCTGCTGAATCATGGGGTTTCAGAGGAGGAGAAACATTAGAGAGCCTTTAATTTATGCCTTTCACTTTGTAGATCAACTCATCCAGTAAATACGGGGTGTCTGAAAAGTCTGGACAAAAGGGGAAATATTTTATTTGTTGTGCATTTTTCCCCTATGATTATGTTTTGACTTCAATCTCCATCAAATTCTCCAATGGCTGACATTGGAGCTGTCTACAGAGAGATGCAGGCTGCTTCCCACGGGAACAGCACTGTAACAGTAATGACATCAACGATCCTGTATTTCTAGCCTTTTCAGCAGCCTGTATTGATTGACAGGCACAGTTCTAGGCACTGAAAATAGAGCAGTACACAAGATAGATAAAGTCCTACTCTGGTGGAGTTATAATCTGGTGGGAAAGAAACCAAGACCAAAGGAGGAGCCACAACACTGGGGTCCTAAGAAGCCGGCTTTGGCAGAAGGACAGGAATGCTGGGCCCTTTCCCAGCTCCCGGCTCAGCTCATAGCAGCCTCCAGGGTAGCTGGGTTGAGTTGGGCTGGGTCAGGCTGAGCTGCATCCCAGGGTAGGGTCATCGTGCCACTTTTGTGACCTTGCCTTGGTGCTCCCGGAACTCTTGCCATGGTTTTGCGTCAGGGGAACTGCCAGGGCCTGATTTTGGGCCTCCTAGAGCCTAGATGAATATCTTTAGGGGTCATTTGTTAACTTGCTGCCTAGAACTCACCACCCCACTCTACCCCCATGCCTCTGGAGAATTGTTCCAGCTAAAATGTAGGTGGGAGGGGATGTTTAAAATCACCTGTTCCTTGTCAGTATAGTGGTGAGTAAAAACAAATTTTTTTTTTTGCTGGGTGTGGTGGCTCACGCCCGTAATCCCAGCACTTTGGGAGGCCGAGGGGGCGGATCACGTGAGGTCAGGAGTTTTCCAGACCAGCCTGGCCAACATGGTGAAACCTTATCTCTACCAAAAATACAAAAATTAGCCGGGCATGGTGGCATGCGCTACTCGGGAGGCTGAAGCAGGAGAATCGCCTGAACCCGGGAGGCAGAGGTTGCAGTGAGCCGAGATTGTGCCACTGCACTCCAGCCTGGACGACAGAGTAAGACTTTCTTTTTTTTTAAGACGGAGTTTCACTCTCGTCGCCCAGGCTGGAGTGCAGTGGTGCAATCTCAGCTCACTGCAACCTCTGCCTCCCTGGTTCAGGCAATTCTCCTGCTTCAGCCTCCCGAGTAGCTGGGATTACAGGCACACGCCACCACGCCCAGCTAATTTTTGTATTTTTGGTAGAGACGGGGTTTTGCCATGTTGGCCAGGCTGGTCTCGAACTCCTGACCTCGTGATCCACCCACCTCAACCTCCCAAAGTGCTGGGATTATGGGCGTGAGCCACCACGCCCAGCCAAACTAAATTTTTTAAATAAATAAAGGCCAGACTTTGTGGCTCACGCCTGTAATCCCAACACTTTGGGAGGTTGAGGCGGGAGGATCGCTTGAGCCCAGAATTTTGAGACCTGCCTGGGCAACATGGCAAGACCCTGTCTCTACCAAAATAAATAAAAATTAGCTGGGCATGGTGGCACGTTCCTGGAGTCCCAGCTACTCAAGAGGCTGAGGTGGGAGGATCACTTGAGCCCAGGAGGTTGAGGTTGCAGTGAGCCATGTTTATGCCACTGCACTCCAGCCTGGGTGAGAGAGTGAGATCTTGTCTCAAAAAATAAATAAATACATACATAAAAAAATAAAATCACTCACATTAGTTGAACAGGAACTAGGAATGCAGAAGTCTTTGCTTCTCTGGAAAATAAAGAGCCACAAAACCTGCCTGATATGGAGAGGGAGGGAGGGCAGAGTAAAAAGAGAAAGAACTTGTATCTCCTGGTGATGTTAGCAGTTAGAGGTTATTTTCTCATTCCAGTTCCCTACTCCTGGGTTGGCTCACTGCTGCCCATCCCTGTTCCAAAGCAGTCCCTCTTCTCATAATTATAATAATGCCCCTGCTCCATGCAAGAAGCACCTACTATGTGCCCAGAAGGAGTAAATTTATATTCTTAACCTTTGCAGTTACCTAGAGGTCAATTTGCCCATTTATCAATTGAGGAAACAGATTTTCAGCAACATTAAGTAACTGGCCCAATATTGCCTAGTTAATAAGTAGCAGAGCTGGCACTTAAACCCAATTTCGTCTAACACCACTAGATTACAATATGTTCTTTTTGCTATTCCGTGTTTCCTTTCTATCTCAAACCCATCTCAAGTCACCAAGTAGTTATTGAGGATCTACTGAATACCAGGTGCAGCTAAAAAGCTTTCACTTTGTCATTCCCTACCCCCAGGACCCTGGTGCAGTCCCTTCACCCTGCTTTCCTTTCTCAGATGCTCCCATTTCCAAATCTCTGCCTCCCTTTCCCCTGCCCATTCTGCCTCCGCCAGTGCCCATTCTTGCCGTCCCCCGTTCTGGGCCTGTGGTCAGCAGTGCAGCAGTACCCAGGTGAGGCAGCAGGCCTGACTCACTCCTATGTCAGGGATTGTAAAGGGCGCGGGCCAGGGCTTTGCTGTCGCTGTCGTCACTGCACAATTGTTCCTGATTCAGCGGCGGATCACCTGAGCCACACCTGAGTGCCCCCAACCTCCTCTTTGAAGAGCAAACATGGGGGCCTCTAAAGGAACATGGCTAGATAAACAGACCTCTCTGCAGATGAGGTTTAGCTCCTCGGAGGAGACAGATTTAAGAATATTTATTAAGTTCCTACTAGGTGACAGCCAAGTACTGGAGATACTACAGAGATCTAATGAGAAAAAGGTCAGATGTGGCCCTGTACACTCGTGGAGATTATATTCCAGTAGGCGGGACAAACAACAGCAAAAAGCAAATACATAAAATGATTCCCCAACGTGATATGTGTCATGAAGAAAAACAAGGGGCTGAGAAGGAGGCTAGCAGTGGTGATGGATCAAGGCAAAGGTCAAACGAGGGAAATGAAGGAACATGGTGATCTGGGGGAAGATGGGAAGGAAATGAGGAGGAGAGCTGGAAATGGAGGAGGCTAAGGGCCTGTTTCTCCAGTATCAGGGCAGTGGGAGCCAGTCCAGTTGCTCGTCTCAGCCCCTGGCACTTTCTGGCCTTAACTCATTCCCCAGCCTGCACTCCCCCACCCCCTTATTGGCTTAATGATTCACCCCCAACATTTCCCTAGCTTCCTGTGTGGCAGGAAGGAGCAGGAGCAGAGCCCTAGGGCTCTGAGGGTAGCAGGAATGGGGATGGGATTGGTTGGGAATGGTGAGCAGTCCGGGTTCTCAGGTCTTCTCTTTGTCCCATTCTGGTCTTGCCACAAAGAAAGGTCTCTCTGTGCCGGGAGGACAGCGAGGATAACTAGACCCAGCTGGAGGCCCAGATTCCAGATGTGGGAGGTAGTGGCAAAACAAGATCCTGGCATCCCCTTCATTTCCCCTCCTCTGCCTAATGCCCTAGAGAAATTTTCCATCATAAACAAGTAATGCATTCCTAACCTTTGGTGCTTCTCTCTCTCTCCCACCCACTAGTTTTCTTCCATCATCACTATCTCCCCCTACTCCCAATTTATGTTTATGTGAGTGTGAGGGTCTGTCCACATGTGTAAGTAGTCATGGGTTTATGTTGGTCATTGTGTAGCGTGCGAGTTGCCTTGGAATAAGGATGTTGGGGGTGGTGGGCTCCCTGTGCTTGGGTGTAAATGTAAGAATGATGGCAGGTGTGAAGACAGGCGTGGGAAAGCAATGCGCCTTTGTTTACAGAGGAGGTGTGTTTTATGCCAGCCAGGAAGAAGTGTGTAATGTGGAAGGGATCTTGTGTATTTAGATAAGAGTAGTGAGTATAAAATAAAGTGACTTGTAGGCCCAGGAATTGTACACAGAGCAGTAGTGTATTTCTAGCCGGTTGTGGCCTGTCCTCTTATTTGTGTTCCTACATGTTCTTGATTGAAAAATCCTTTTAAGTGTTTCCTAAGTGGGAGGGGAGAAAAGTGTTTCCTGTTTGGTGTCTGTGTAAGAATTGTCCCAGCTTTTCTAAAGATGTTGTACATTTGTATGAGTGGTTTGGAGGAGTGTAGCCACATCTCAGAAGCTTGGTGTGACCCAGCCAAGGTGGGAATACTACATGCACACTTACAGTTGTACATTTCACCTGGCATTTAACAAGATTATTGAGCAACTGCTGCCTACAAGGTACCATGCTGGGTTCTCTGGAGGACACAAAGATGTGTATGACACAGCCTCCAGTGGAAGAGATCATATATGTATTCACTTTGTGCACCAGGCTTAAAATGATGGTAGAAAGATCTGAGCCAGATGTATTTCAAATCTCTGGAGTCATCTCAGATCTTTTCATCCTCTTGCTGTCGGCAACTCTCCCTCTCCCATGCTCCCTTCCCCTAATGATATCCATCTCATTGCCCAATTCTGATTATCTTATGCTAGGAATGTCTCTTAGGGCCACCTTCTCAGGCTCTTGTTATCATCTACCTGAGCCCCTCCAATAGCCTCCTGTCTACTGCCTTAGTCTCTACCCGTCCAGAGCATCACTCCTCATCCCAATCAGTTTCCTGCTTGAATTTTCCTCCCTTTATCTCATCCAGCAACCCACAAGCTCTACAGTCTAGAGTGAAACCCAGGCTCCTGACCTGGCAGCTCTGCTCTCCCCACTCTGCCCAATTCCACTCCTTTCCAGCCATTATTACTTCCCACTACTCCGTTACAGGAAACTTACTCTGAGATTGTTTTTCTTGTGATTCCCCAAACACATCCTGTACTTTTCCAGCTCAAGGTCTTTGCTAATTCCATTCTTACAGTCATCCTCCACATCTGAATTTGTCATATCCCACCCACTGTTCAAGGTCACCTTCAGTGCCACTCTTCCATGAAGCCTCCCCTGATTGATTGGACAGATGTGAACACTAGCTCTTTTGGGTCCCCCCCTTAACACTTAGTCTTCAGTTTTCTTAGGTTTTTTTGTTTTTGTTTTTGTTTTTTGTTTTGTTCTTGTTTTTTTGAGACAGGGTCTCACTCTGTCACCCAGGCTGGAGTGCAGTGGCACGCTCTCAGCTTGCTGCAACCTCTGCCTCCTGAGTTCAAGCGATTCTCCTGCCTCAGCCTCCCGAGTAGCTGGGATTACAGACATGCGCCACCATGCTTGGCTAATTTTTGTATTTTTAGTAGAAACAGGGTTTCACCATGTTGACCAGGCTGGTCTCGAACTCCTGACCTCAAATGATCCACCCGCCTCGGCCTGCCAAAGTGTTGGGATTACAGGTGTGAACCACCGTGCCTGGCCTTTCTTAGGATCTTCAAGAAAGCTTGCCTTTCCTTCAGGCAGAAACTCAATATAACAAAAAAAGAGAGAGAGAGAGAGCAACAGAGACAGACAGATAGAGAGCTCTCCTGGCCATGGTTCCCTCCTCATGCCGGAGGGTAAGGCCCTCATGGCTGGAGTATCAGCTTTATCTGGCTTTCCTCAGGCAGCTGCATGGCACAGCACTTATACTGAAACTAGCCTCAGGACTCTCAACAGTAGTACCCTCAACAGAGGGCGCCTGAAACAGGTGAATGCTCAAAAGATGTTAAATTCTGCACGGTGGCTGCCAGCACTTTGGGAGGCCGAGGCAGGCAGATTGGTTGAGCTCAGGAGTTCAAGACCAGCCTGGGCAACATGGCAAAACCCTGGCTCTACAAAAAATTTTATATATATATATATATATATATATATATATATATATATATATTAGCCAGGCATGGTGGTGCTCACCTGTGGTCCCAGCTACTCAGGAGGCTGAGGTAGGAGTATGGCTTGAGCCAAGAGGCAGAGGTTGCAGTCAGCCGAGATCATGCCACTGCACTTCAACCTGGGCGACAAAGCCAGATCCTGTCTCAAAACAAAAAAAAAAAGTTAAATTCTGTGTCCATGAGCAGCTGTCTGTAAGGAAGTTATGGAAATGTGAATCTGCTTTAAGTTGAGTAATTACCATTACTGTAACATTTGTATAATGTCTCACAATTTAGAATGTTTGTCCCATAAATTTGGTTGTTTGACTTACAGCAAGGGGCAAATCTGGGTGGCTGCTAACCTATTGCCTTTGTATTTGTGGCCCTCTGCACCAGCCTTTATGTGAATATTTCTGCACGCTCCTAAGAGAGTAGTTTTGCTGAACTGTCCCTATACAGTCTTTGCACCTTT
This sequence comes from Homo sapiens, assembly GCF_000001405.40. Lineage (NCBI taxonomy): Eukaryota > Metazoa > Chordata > Mammalia > Primates > Hominidae > Homo > Homo sapiens. Next base: position 2,056,340 of record NT_167246.2, on the reverse strand, counting down.
ACTGTGTACATGTGTGTTGGTAGGTGTACGTGGTATGTTTTCCTTTTTTTCCAGGATTGCATTCTTTTTATGGCTGAATAATATTTAATTGTGTATTGTTGTTGTTGTTGTTGTTATTTTATAGTGACAAGGTCTCACTATGTTGCCCAGGCTCCTGAGCTCAAGTGATCCTCCCACCTTAGCCCCCCAAAATGCTAGGATTACAGGCAAGAGCCACCATGCCCCACCATTGTGTATTACTTTTTTAATCTTTCTATCCTTCCCTCCCTCCCCAACTTTTATTTTAAATTCTGGGGTATATGTGCAGGTTTGTTACCTAGGTATACTGCATGATGCTGAGGTTTGGGGTATGAATGATCCTGTCACCCAGGTACTGAGCATAGTACCCAATAGTTAGTGTTTCAACCTTTGCCTTACTCCCTCCGTCCTTCTTCTACTGGTCTCAAGTTGCTATTGTTGCCATCTTTATGTCCATGAGTTCCCAATGTTTGGTTCCCACTTATAAGTGAGAATGTGTGGTATTTGGTTTTCTGTTCCTGAGTTAATCCGCTTAGGATAATGGCCACCAGCCGCATCCATGTTGCTGCAAAGCACATAATTTTGTTCTTTTGTATGGCTACGCGGTGTGTGTCTTCATGTGTGCTCAGGCAGGCAGGTTTGTGTCTGTGTGTGCTAGTGTGTTCATTTCTCCCTTAATCTTGACTATTTCTGTAACAATTTCCTTCTTGGGGAGTTTATATTCTAAGGATACCTACAAGTGCATGAATGCGTGCATATAACTGGGTCAGTATTGCAGCAGGATGGCCTGATCTCCAATAAAAAGCCCTCTTGGCAGGGCACGGTGGCTCACGCCTGTAATCCCAGCACTTTGGGAGGCCGAGGCGGGCAAACCAAATACCATACATTCTCACTTATAAGTGGGAACCAAACATTGGGAACTCGTGGACGTAAAGATGGCAACAATAGCAACTTGAGACTACTAGAAGAAGGACGGAGGGAGCGAGGCAGATCACGAGGTCAGGAAATCGAGACCACCCTGGCCAACAGGGTGAAACCCCGTCTCTACTAAAAATACAAAAATTAGCTGGGCGTGGTGGCGCGTGCCTGTATTCCCAGCTACTCAGGAAGCTGAGGCAGGAAAATCGCTTGAACCAGGGAGTCAGGGGTTGCAGTGAGCCGAGATCGCGCCTCTGCATTCCAGCCTGGCGACCGAACGAGACTGCTCCATCTCCAAAAAAAAAAAAAAAAAAAGGCCTGTGAGGGATCCTGTGGCTAAAGTGAGCCCCTCTCCAGGTGCCACATGCCTCGACATGTGCCTGCAGCCCGGGATCTCACCCACCCCCACTCACGACTCACACACTCACAACGTGCAGTTGGGCGCCTAGGATTGTGCATGTCAAGTCTCCACCCACTCCCTTTGTTTAATCGTCGGAATTTCCAGCCCGCTGCTGCCAACCGCTCCCCAGCTGCGGGAGGAGGAGTTAGAAGGACCCGCCCAATTTTCAGGAGCACATAAATTACCTCTGCCGGCAGCCGACCCTCACTTGGCCTTACACTCCGCTCGGCTCACCATGTGTCACTCTCGCAGCTGCCACCCGACCATGACCATCCTGCAGGCCCCGACCCCGGCCCCCTCCACCATCCCGGGACCCCGGCGGGGCTCCGGTCCTGAGATCTTCACCTTCGACCCTCTCCCGGAGCCCGCAGCGGCCCCTGCCGGGCGCCCCAGCGCCTCTCGCGGGCACCGAAAGCGCAGCCGCAGGGTTCTCTACCCTCGAGTGGTGAGTATCGCCGAAGTGGGCATTCGCGGGGTGCGCTGCCCTGGAGTCACTGGGGAACGACCCGACTCCAGAGGCCTCGACCTGACCTGTCTCCTGTTTTGTCTCCCCTTAGGTCCGGCGCCAGCTGCCAGTCGAGGAACCGAACCCAGCCAAAAGGCTTCTCTTTCTGCTGCTCACCATCGTCTTCTGCCAGATCCTGATGGCTGAAGAGGGTGTGCCGGCGCCCCTGCCTCCAGAGGACGCCCCTAACGCCGCATCCCTGGCGCCCACCCCTGTGTCCCCCGTCCTCGAGCCCTTTAATCTGACTTCGGAGCCCTCGGACTACGCTCTGGACCTCAGCACTTTCCTCCAGCAACACCCGGCCGCCTTCTAACTGTGACTCCCCGCACTCCCCAAAAAGAATCCGAAAAACCACAAAGAAACACCAGGCGTACCTGGTGCGCGAGAGCGTATCCCCAACTGGGACTTCCGAGGCAACTTGAACTCAGAACACTACAGCGGAGACGCCACCCGGTGCTTGAGGCGGGACCGAGGCGCACAGAGACCGAGGCGCATAGAGACCGAGGCACAGCCCAGCTGGGGCTAGGCCCGGTGGGAAGGAGAGCGTCGTTAATTTATTTCTTATTGCTCCTAATTAATATTTATATGTATTTATGTACGTCCTCCTAGGTGATGGAGATGTGTACGTAATATTTATTTTAACTTATGCAAGGGTGTGAGATGTTCCCCCTGCTGTAAATGCAGGTCTCTTGGTATTTATTGAGCTTTGTGGGACTGGTGGAAGCAGGACACCTGGAACTGCGGCAAAGTAGGAGAAGAAATGGGGAGGACTCGGGTGGGGGAGGACGTCCCGGCTGGGATGAAGTCTGGTGGTGGGTCGTAAGTTTAGGAGGTGACTGCATCCTCCAGCATCTCAACTCCGTCTGTCTACTGTGTGAGACTTCGGCGGACCATTAGGAATGAGATCCGTGAGATCCTTCCATCTTCTTGAAGTCGCCTTTAGGGTGGCTGCGAGGTAGAGGGTTGGGGGTTGGTGGGCTGTCACGGAGCGACTGTCGAGATCGCCTAGTATGTTCTGTGAACACAAATAAAATTGATTTACTGTCTGCAGTCTTGAGTGTATCTTTGCAAGCGCCGACTCCCCACTCCTCCCGGCCTTCAGATGGCAAGGACCGGCGGGAGGCGCCGTGGCCGAGTCCCCAGCCCGCGCACCTCCCTGGGCCCAGGAGCCCCTTTTCCTGGAGTCACAGAACCCAGCATCCGGTTGCCGGATGTAGTCTTTCATTGCCCAGTCTGCGGTTTTCCCAGGTAGTTGCCCCGCGGCGAATCCGAGATGTGGCAATCACCCTTACGCCAGGGTGCCAGGCGGAGGTCAAGTCCCTCACCCGGGGGCGGAGCGTGGCGCGGCGTGGGCGGGATTCCCGGCTCAAGAAGGGCGGTGACTGGGGCGGCAGGGATGTGGCCCTCCCCGGGCTAACCAGGCAGCCCGGCTGGGCCCGAGAGCCAGCGGGCGGGCGGGCTGCGGACTCTAGCGGGGCCTGCCGGGAAAGGGGCGGGCCGAGCGCACTGGGCCGAGGCGGGGCGAAGTGGGGGTGCTTAGTCCGTTGCGGGGGGCGGGGTCGCGTCTGCCGCAGCAACGGGGTGCGGCAGGGTGGGGAACGCGGGAGCGGGGCCAGCTCCCAGGAAAGCTGGTCTGCGAGCGGCCCCTGCCCGGCTCCCAGGTCCCTGCGCGACCCCGCCCTTCCCGAGACCCCAGCCGGGCTGCCGCCCGCGTCCCGGAAGGTGAGTGGGGGAGGGGAGATGGAGCCTGGGGCTGCCGAGAAGCAGGGAGAGAGGGGAAAGGTCTGCAGGCCTCTGGGCGCGGGGGACCTTTATCAAAGGGAGCGGCGAGGGGAAGGGAGGGACCATACGCAGGCGGAGAAGAGGTAGCTGGGGATCTTAAGGATTTTGTAGGGAAAAGCCTTAGCGGACCCATGGGTGTAGAAGGGACGGGCCGTGGCGGATGCAGACTGGGAGGGCCTGACGGGAAAGGGAAAGGATGGGCCCCTGTGGACGCCACAGCGCGCCTTCCCCATCCGCAAAGGCTTTCCCTCCCTCTCCTCCAGCTCCAGCCTGAACCATGTTTTTCACTTGTGGCCCAAATGAGGCCATGGTGGTCTCCGGTAAGTACTGTTGTTCCCTTCCCAGCCAGTGACCCCAGAACCCCTGTGAGTCTGGCCTCTGCCCCTTCTCCCTCTCCCTACCAACTTCCCAGCACCAGACTTCTGCCCCTTGATGGCCACGAACTGCCCAGTTTGATTCCCACCATTCCAAGGCCCAGACTGCTTCCCCTCCAGCTCCCAGATTCTCTCCTGTGGGTTGCTGTCCCCTCACCCCCGCCAGTTCCTCAGTCTTCCACATTCAAGCTCTGCCACCGTTCCTCACTGCCCCACACCTTGCAGGGTTCTGCCGAAGCCCCCCAGTCATGGTGGCTGGAGGGCGTGTCTTTGTCCTGCCCTGCATCCAACAGATCCAGAGGTAGGCAAGAAGGGAACCAGGGAAGGGGGACCTCCGTTTTCTCTTTTTCCTCCTCTTCTTACTGTCTGTCCCTTCTTTTTCCCCTAGGATCTCTCTCAACACACTGACCCTCAATGTCAAGAGTGAAAAGGTTTACACTCGCCATGGGGTCCCCATCTCAGTCACTGGCATTGCCCAGGTGAAGCTTTCAGAGCCTTTTCCCCACAGTCCACTTCCCCATCACCCTCTCTCCCAGACATTAAGACATCTTCTGGCCACAGTCTTCTCAACCCTTGCCTGCAGAGAAGTTCCTCTGCTAGTCTCATCTTTTCCAGGCACCCCAAGGCACTTGCCTCCTCCTCCTTTCTTTCCCTGAAATGGAAGAAGCATTTCTTAGAGGGCTCTCCCTTCTCTCTCTGCTTTTTCTCTGACTTCATGAGACCCCCACCACACCTTTCCTACCCCTACTCTGGCTACAGGTAAAAATCCAGGGGCAGAACAAGGAGATGTTGGCGGCCGCCTGTCAGATGTTCCTGGGGAAGACGGAGGCTGAGATTGCCCACATTGCCCTGGAGACGTTAGAGGGCCACCAGAGGGCCATCATGGCCCACATGACTGTGGAGGTTGGCCTAGGGGCAGGGAACCATCTGGAAGGATGTCAAAATGAGGGGGGCCCAAGGCCCACACTAGTCTGTGAGAGACAGTGGATCCAAGAGCATACATCCCGGCCGGGCAGGGTGGTTCATGCCTGTAATCCCAGCACTTTGGGATGCCAAGGTGGGCAGATCACTTGAGGTCAGGAGTTCGAGACCAGCCTAGCCAACCTGGTGAAACCCCTTCTCTACTACAAATACAAAAATTAGCTGGGTATGGTGATGGGTGTCGGTAATCCCAGCTACTTGGGAGGCTGAGGCAGGAGAATCACTTGAACCCAGGAGGCAGAGGTTGCAGTGAGCAAAAAAAAAAAAAAAAAAAAAACTTACATCCCTTCTCCCCACCATCCTGTTATCACAGGAGATCTATAAGGACAGGCAGAAATTCTCAGAACAGGTTTTCAAAGTGGCCTCCTCAGACCTGGTCAACATGGGCATCAGTGTGGTTAGCTACACTCTGAAGGACATTCACGATGACCAGGTAAAACTAGGCAATTGATCCTTCCCCACTTCCTTGCTCCCATCTCTTAAGCCCTCCAAAGGACTAATTTCTACATCTCTCCCACAGGACTATTTGCACTCTTTGGGGAAGGCTCGAACAGCTCAAGTCCAAAAAGATGCACGGATTGGAGAAGCAGAGGCCAAGAGAGATGCTGGGATCCGGGTGAGAGAGATGGGGGTTGCTTAGTGGGAAAGGGGATAGAAGTGGCACAACTGAGAAGAAGCAGGGGTGCTGGGTGAGCAGGGAAAATACATGAGGCAGAAAGAGAACCTTGGTGGGAAGCAGGCTGTCACCGTGGCCTTTCTCCCCCTGCCCTGACATTTCCTACCTGATCTCTGCTTGGACAGGAAGCTAAAGCCAAGCAGGAAAAGGTGTCTGCTCAGTACCTGAGTGAGATCGAGATGGCC